>NC_000005.10:167276475-167579505 GCF_000001405.40 Homo sapiens
ATATGAGATGAGTTGTCATATGAAATATTTGAGTTTTTTGAGTTTTTTGAGAAGTTAGTCCATTTGTCAAAGTTATATTGTGTATAGATCTGTTTGTAGTACAATTACCTCTCAGCATCCACAGGGGATTGGTTCCGGGATGTCGCACAGATACTGAAATCCACAAATACTCAAGTCTCTTATATGAAATGGTAGATTTGCGTATAACCTATGCACATCCTTCTGTATGCTTTAAATCATCTCTAGATTACTTATAATACCTAACACAATGTAAATGCTATGTATAGTTTTGTTATACTGTATTGATTTTTATTTGTATGATTTTTTATTGTTGTATGGTTATTTTTTATTTTTCCCAAATATTTTTGATCCACAGTTGGTGGAATATGAGGCTGATTGAATCTGATGTGGCAAAACCCATGGATATGGTGGGCCAGCTATATTCTCTAATTATCTTGTTCATGTCTTCAGGGCCTGTAATGATACCTCCTGTTTTATTCCTGATGTGGATAATTTGTGTCCTCCATTTTTTCTTTGTCAGCCTTCCTAGAGGTTTGTCATTCTTATTGATCTTTTCAAGGAAACAACTTTTTAATTGTTTTTCTCTGTTGTTTTTCTGTTTTCAGTTTCATTGATTTGGGTCTTATGTTTATTATTCCCTCCCCTTTTTTGCATTGAGTATGTCTTTTTCTTCTTATTTTTTCATTGTTTTTGAAATGGGAGCTTATATTATTGATTTGAGGCTTTTTCTGTTGTCCAGTGTATGCATTTACTTCTATAACCTTCCCTTTCATCACCGCTTTAACTGTATCCTGCAAATACTGATATTGTAGTTTCATTTTTATTCACTTTAATGTATATTTTGATTTTTTCCTTTAGAATTTCTTTGACCCATGGATTATTTAGAAGAGTGTTGTTTACTTTTCAAGTGTGTGGAGATTTTCTTCTTATTTTCTATTACTGATTCTAGTTTTATTCCATTGTTGTCAGGGAACATACTCTGTATGATTTCAATTCTTTAAAAATTTTTGAGGTATGTTTTATGATCCAAGATATGGTTTTATATTGATATACACTCCATGGCCACTTGAGAAAGATTTATAACCTGTTGTTGTTGGGAGGAGAATTCTGTAAACGCTGATTTATCTTGTTGGCTTATGGTGTTGTTGGGATCTTCTATATCCTTCCTGATTTTTCCACTTAAATATTCTATTAATTTTGAAGACCTGGGTGTTGAAAACTCAAATACAATTGTGCATTAAAATTTTTTTCAGTTATATCATTTTTTTGTTTCACATATTTTGCAGATATGTTTTTTGTGGTCATACATATTTAGAATTGCCATGTCCATGTCCTCTTGGAAGATTTACCCTTTTATAATGCTCCTTTCTGTCTCTAGTAATTTCTTTGCCTGTAAGGTTCACTTTATCCAATATTAGTATAGTCATTCCTCCTTTCTTTTGATTGATGTTTGCATGATACCTTTTTGTTTTGTTTTGTTTTATTTTCAATGTGCCTGGATTGTTATATATAAAATGACTTTCTTGGTGGAGCATGGTGGCTCATGCCTGTAATCCCAGCACTTTGGGAGGCTGAGGTGGGTAGATCTCTTGGGCCCAGGAGTTGAAGACTAGCCTTGGCAACATGGCAAAATTCCATCTCCATAAAAAATACACAAATTATCCAGGCATGGTGGCACACGCTTGTAGTCCCAGCTACTCAGGAAGTTAAGACAGGAAGATCGCTTGTGTCTGGGAAGTCAAGGCTTCAGTGAGTTGTGATTGTGCCACTGCACTCCAGCCTGGGTGACAGAATGAGACCTTGTCAAAAAATAAAATGAAATAAAATAACTTTCTTATTGACACCATAGAGATGGGTCATGTTTTTAATTCACTTTGCCAGTCTTTGTCTTTTAATCAATATATTAAGACCATTTACATTTAAAAAAGCATTGCTATTTTAGGGCTTAAGTTTGCCCTTTTATTTTTAATTTTCTTTTTGTTCTCACATTCTCTGTACTTTTCGTATCTCTGTTTTATTTTTCCCACTTCCTTATGGGTTACTGAACGGTTTATAGGGCTCCAGTTTTACTTACCTATAGTAATTTTGAGTACATCTCTTTGTATAGCTTTTGTAGTTGCTGCATTGTACATACGTATCTTATCACAGTCTACTCCTTTCATCATTTTACTAGTTTGAATAAAGTGTGGAAGCCTTCCCTTCCTTTACATTCTCTGACCCTCCCCTATTTATAATATAACTTATTAAATATATTCTCTACATACGTTTAGAATCATATCCCAGAGTGTTTTAATTTTTGCTTCAACTATCAAAAAATTCTTAAAAACTCAAAAGGAGAAAGTTTATTACATTTGCTCATATTTTTGCTTTCCACATTCTCGCTAACTCTTGGTATTCCAAGATTCCTCCTTTTATGGTTTCCTTTCTATTTAGAGAACTAACTCTTTAGCTATTTTTAAAAATAGGTCTACTGTTGACCAAGTCTCTTAATTGTCCTCCATCTGATAATTTCTTGAACTTTATTTCATTCCAGAAGGATATTTTCATTGGATGTAGGATTGTAGTTTGAAGATTCTTTTATTTCAGTACTTGAAAAATGTTTGCTACTTTCTAATGACCTCCATGGTTTCTGATAATAAGTCCACTTTCGTTCAGATCATTTGCCCCTATCGATCAGTTGTATTGTTTTTTCTCACCCTTTCAATATTTTTTCACTGCCTTTAGTTTTCAGAAGTTTGACTATGGATGCAATTGGATTTGTCCTGCATGGGACTCACTCAGCTTTTTGAATAGGTATTTTATGCCTTTTGCAAAGTTGGGATATATTCAGCTACATTTTCAGCACTTTTCCAGCCCCTCCTTCTTTCTCCTCCTGGGACTCTGATGACATGAACATTAGGTATTTTATCATCACCCTACAGGTCCCTAAGTTAGTTAGTTAGTTTCTTTCTTTCTATCTTTCTTCCTTCCCTTCTTCCCTTCTTCCTTTCTTTCTTTCTCTTTCTTTCCTTCCTTCCTTTCCTTCCTTCCTTCCTTCCTTCCTTCCTTCCTTCCTTCCTTCCTTCCTTCCTTCTTTCTTCTGTTGTATATATTGGGGTAATTTCTACTGATTATTTGCAAGTTCTCTCATTCTTGTCTTTTTGCCTCCTCTTTGCTGTTAAGTCAATCTACCATCTATCAAGAGTTTTGTTTTGTTTTGGGTTATTGTATATTTCAGTTCTGAAATTTTCACTGGGGTCTTCTTTACATCTTCTATTTGGTTCCTGAGAATTTCTATTTCTTTGATGAGACTTTCTGTTTTCCATTTGTTTCAAGTGTGCCCATAATTGTCCATTGAAGCAATTTCATGATGGCTGCTTATATCAGATAATGCTGACATCTTTGTCATCTCAGCGTTGGCATCTATTGAATGCGTTTTTCCTTTCAGTTTAAGAACTTCCTGGATTTTGGTATGACAAGTGATTTTTTATTGAAACCTGGACATTTGGGATATCATGTTATGAGACTCTGGCTCTTACTTAAACCTTCTATTTTAGCTGATTTTCTCTGACATTGCTGTTGACAGAGGAAGGAGGAACCTACCTCATTACTGCCAAATTCCCTGCTCAGCTTCTGTCAACATTCAAAGGCAGGGAGTTTCTTCTCAGATGCCAAGGGGGAAGCCAACCCAGGGATAGAGGAATGGAAGTTCTGGCTCCCCATGAGACACGCAGTGATACCTCTCTGGGTGGTAGGAGTAGGAATGCTTCAGCACTGCACTACATGGCATCTGCTTACACCGCAGGGGGCAAGAGGACTTACCACAGAAGGATGGTGAAAAGTTCTGACTCTCCTAAACATTCTTCCACACCACTCCAGTGGAGAAGGGGAGGAGTGCCTTGTTTATGCTCAGTGGGGGTGGACGACAGCACCCTGTGAAGAGGAGAGCTTCACTATTTCCTGGAAGGGGCTGAAAGTCCTGGCTCTCCTGTACTGTGGTTGAGGTTGGTGTCTACTTGCAGCCTCATTTTCATGGAAGGGCAAGCTTTCCACTTGGTCTTTGCTTGTGAAGATTGGGGTGGGGCCACAGTTGGTTTCCATGGTGTGTGGCTGGAGTAGGGTAGTCATTGCTTCAACATTTTCTTTCTTGTGAGCCTGCCCCTTTTCATAGTCCTTTGGCTATATAGGAGGCTCACTTTTGTTGTCTGTGCCCATTGAGATCTCTGGGTTGCCAGCTCCATGTCTGGGATATCTATATCTATCTGTCTGTCTATCTGTCTGTCTATCTATCTATCTATCTATCTATCTATCTATCTATCTATCTATCTATCTGTCATCTATCTAATTTCTTTTTGCCATATATATGGCAAAAAGAAACCCCAGGGAACTCACCACTGTTGTTCCTTGGGTCCTGAGGCCCCTCATTGTTCTGCTCTTCTTTCTACTTTTCATAATCTTACATGTTTTATTTATAATGTTCAGGGCTTTTAGCTGTACCTTGTAGGGAAAATAGGGAAAAGTATGTCTATTCCATCTTTCTGGAAGCAGACATTTATAGTCTGCCTGATTTTTAAAGATAAGAATCCAGATTTTCATATATAATTCTTCCATTTTGTCTTTTAATACTGACAATCAATGTTTTTTTTTTTTTGAAATGGAGTCTCACTCTGTTGCCCAGGCTGGAGTGCAGTGGTACGATCTTGGCTCACTGCAACCTCCGCTTTCCGGGTTCAAGCAATTCTCTTCCTCAGCATCTTGAGTAGCTGGGATTACAGGCACCTGCCACCACGCCTGGCTATTTTTTTTTTTTTTTGCATTTTTAGTAGAGACGGGATTTCCTCATCTTGGCCAGGCTGGTCTTGAACTCCTAACCTCGTTATGCACCCTCCTCGACCTCCCAAAGTGTTGGGATTATAGACGTGAGCCACCGCACCAGGCTGACAATCAGTTTTTAAGTAACAGGCAGGCTAAATACAAAATGTCTATTTGCCAACAGTCCGTGAGCTTTGCCTAGCTCCTTAAGGAATTTAGTTTCTCTGACTGAGATTTGTGAATTTTTATCTCATTATATATAATTTTCCATCATTTATCCAGAGGTGATATTGCTGACAAAGTTAACTATCAAGGGCAGAGCCAAGAAAGAGAAATTTATCAGGAAAAGATATCTGAGCAACCACATTAGATGTCAAAATGTCCAAACACTAAAGTTCTTGAACTTTATTAATAGGTTATAAGCCTTGCAGCCGGGCACAGTGGCTCACGCCTGTAATCCCAGCACTTTGGGAGGCCGAGGCGAGCAGATCACCTGAGGTCAGGAGTTCAAGACCAGCCTGGCCAACATGGTGAAACCCCGTCTCTACTAAAAATACAAGAAATTAGCCAAGTGTGGTGGTGGGTACCTGTAATCCCAGCTACTTGGGAGGCAGAGGCAGGAGAATCGCTTGAATCCGGGAGGCAGAGGATGCAGTGAGCGGAGATCACGCCTCTGCACTCCAACCTGGGCAACAAGAGCAAAACTCCATCTCAAAAAAAAAAAAAAAAAAAAAGTTATAAGCCTTTAAGCTTCCACTCTGAGCATGATTTAAAAACTAAAATAAAAGCATACACACGCATACATACACATATGCAGAAAGTCAGTCTACTTTCCCAAGCACAATGCAAATTAGAGAAGATAGGATTTCATGAGTCAGGAACACTGAAGATATTGAAATTAAAAACTAACAGTGAAGCAAGAGAGAAGAAAATCATCAAAGTGACTCAAAATACTCAACTCCCCATAAAACCACCTGTGGCTCCTCAGTGTTGGTACACAGTCTTATATTCTTTCAGTAGATGCTGAAAGTCTTCCTTTATTGGAGCCTAGCTTAAGAATTAGGATTTATTATTAGAACTGTGAGTTTCAGGGATTTATATCGTCATCTTCCTCCTCTGTCTTATGCAAGTCTGTAACTCCTTAGCTAAGAAAAAAACATTTTTAAAATCATTCAGAGGAGAATAAAAACTAATTTTAATTGAGCCCCTATGATGTGTTAGATAGTATATTAGGAATTTTACCACCATGTATATTTTAATTTTTACAAAAACTCTGTGGAGTAGATGCTATTATTTTCTACAAAAACTCTGTGAAGTAGATACTATTATTTTCTATTTCAGCTGATTGAGAAACTGAGTTCAAAAGACCAGGAATAATTTTGACAAGGACTCTGCCTCACCAGTGGTCATGGTAGGACTGGCATCCAATTAAGACTTCAATGGCCATGCTCTTAAATAACCTACAGATTCCAAAATGTTGAAACTGCATGTTAGAAGTTAGGGAAGGGGATTTGGGCATCTAGTAATTGCCTTAATGTGGAGACACTTGAACTGACTATGCCACAGCAAAAACTGACATGCAAAAACACTACTTAATGTCCTCTAAGCAGGTCCTGGGGTCATGACTCTCAAAGGCACTTCTGAACTTGCTGAGTGAGAGACTCCAGAGTCCAGCAAGCTAGCTACTGCTTGTGCTTTCTTATGAGCAACTGAGGCAGCACCAAGACTGTGCTTGAAGATCATAATATTTGTACCCTCTTTTTCTTTTTTTTTTGAGATGGAGTTTCACACTTGTTGTCCAGGCTGGAGTGCAATGGCAGATCTCAGCTCACTGCAACCTCTGCCTCCTGGGTTCCAGCAATTCTCCTGCCTCAGCCTCCCAAGTAGCTGTGATTATAGGTGCCCGCCACCAGGCCCAGCGAATTTTTTTTTTGTATTTTCAGTAGAGACGGGGTTTCACTATGTTGGCCAACCTGGTCTTGAACTCCTAACCTCAATCCACCCGCCTCGGCCTCCCAAAGTTACAGACATGAGCCACCGCGCCCAGCCAATCGTACCCTCTTTTTCATTGCCAAGTGTCAAACAAAATTGTCCACAATTACAGGCAATATTTGATACAGTGTACACGTAGTATAGATTGGGGGAGGGGGTCCCTGAGATCTAGAAGAACTCCTGGTGTGAAAAAACAAGGGAGGGGCTACTTGGCTTCTGGTGTCTGCAGGCAAATGTCATCCACATTGCTGTGCATAGCTATCTTATTATAGTGTGGTAAAATAGCCAAGGAAGAGCAGAGGGGTTCAAAACTATAGATCTGCTCCCCAAGTATTTCCTGACATATTGAGGAGGCAGTGAGCAACAGTAGCCTGGAGAAAAATCATTGCCCTGGCTCTGGGTTGCATTTTCCATTTTAATTAAAATTCGTATTTGTCCATTCTGTCCAGGTCCTGGCCCTGTGGTCTATGCTATTTTGCATGGCAAATGAAATCAATAAGAGCCTATGATTTGGAACTTGGAGGCGCCTAAGCATTTTGGTCATATTTGCTAAGCAGAAGGCGAGTGTTTTCTGAGTGATGTTTGGCATACACTTCCAGTCTGAGGGTGTCAAATGCCAGACTGTGGGGCTCCCTGGTTGCCAGTTCATATGTTAGAGAGGTTCCTTCCCTTCAGCTTTCCTCATTTTTTTTTTCGGTTCTATAGTGGGTATCCCAGCAATGAAGGTGACAGAATGGCTTGGGGTGATTATCAGGTGGCTGTACCAGTAAGACTGCCTGTCAGCAGTTATCATGTTGGTGGGTGACTAGGCAGAAGAAGTAACCAGGTGTGTCCAAGACACAGATCTGCAAGGGAGAAAAAACTGGGAGTTTGCCAAAAGCTCGTTGAAGAAATTGGAGAAAGATTGTTTGCATGTCGAGAACAACTTTTATTCTTATTCTCCAGACAAAGCTAGGAAATGTTATGTTAGTTGAATGTGACTTGGTATCACTACAAAGTATTAATAGCACATATTTATGCCTTATGCTCAAATCTGCTGCTGCACCTTTCTTTGCCTTTTGTTTATTTTTTCTTTTGGAGGGGGGGTGGTATTTGTTTTCTACCCAAGCCTTCTATAGCATAGAGAGAATGTAATTAAAGAAGGATAAGATCAATTTGGCTTTGAATTGCTTCACAGTAAGATCTTGCATTAGAGTGACAGACTGATCATGTCATCTGTGCATACAAAAAATCTAAAGATGAGTATTTGTTGTTACTATTTTTTTCCAAATCTATTAAATTAAACAGCAAGAAAATTAATTTACTGTATCGAGTTCTTCTATTTAGGCTGATTGTTTAGTTAACATTAAACTTTTGCAAAAGAGATTGTGCAGGGCTGACCAAGGCTGCATGTTCATGTTTTCGTCTGAGTCAGAGCATGAATCAGAACTGAAGGCAGCATTTCTTGTAATCACAGTCTTGGGTTTTTTCTTCTATGTTTTCAGGTGGCAAAGTGACAAGTGCCAAAACTCAGGCCTGACTTTTCTGAAAACATCAGCATTCTGCCATATCTGGAATAATGGATGTAAAGGACCGGCGACACCGCTCTTTGACCAGAGGACGCTGTGGCAAAGAGTGTCGCTACACAAGCTCCTCTCTGGACAGTGAGGACTGCCGCGTGCCCACACAGAAATCCTACAGCTCCAGTGAGACTCTGAAGGCCTATGACCATGACAGCAGGATGCACTATGGAAACCGAGTCACAGACCTCATCCACCGGGAGTCAGATGAGTTTCCTAGACAAGGTTTGTAGGGTTTCCCCTGCTGATTTGCTCTCAACTGTCTAACTTACTTGATTTACATGGTTGATGGCTGCTTTTGGAGATCCAGCATGGTGGTTTTTGACAGATGTACCCTACAGCAGACCCTTGGTTCCATAAAGGACATTCCTAACAACATGGTGAATCTCTATCCTGAGAAACCTAAGATTATCTGTGGTTTCTCAAAACTATTCTCCTCATAGTCCACTTACAAGCCTCAAATTTCTATTCCTTTTCCCATTGGGTTTCTCACTTAGATTCTCCTTGAACAAATGGTGTATCTTGGTTAAAACATCTTTGAAATAGTGTATAATAATACGCCCTTTTCCCTCTACTAAAATATGATGTTAATTCTGAGTTATACGTTTCTCTTTTTGTGTTTCAGAGCATGGGTGGCCACATGTATGTTATTTTCCAATTCCACTGATGTAATTATCCCTCCTACTTTCCCCAAGTCTTAATTTTCCTTTCCTTATACTGTTTTGATTTCTTTTGGGAGGAGAATATTTTTCTCCCAAGCACTAACAGTTGGCACTCTCTTCATGTCCAATATTTATAAAGAGTTCTGTTATCACTTCTCCAGGGTTGCTGTAAATGCATCAACACGTAGAATAAAGCAAAGCAGTGCTGAGAGGTGGTGTGACAAAGCTCACTCTCTAGCTCCATGTCTTACTAGTCCCAGCCTCGCTGTGTGTGCACTTTACATTGATGGCTCAGCAAAATTACAGGCAAACGCACAAAACTGTACCGAATGCCTCGGGAAGGGTCACTCTGCCAGTGCCAAAGGGCTAAGCCCTGCTCTGCTAGGTTATTGCCTCATTTGTTTTATAACACTGATTCTTTATTTCTTGTTCCATGTCCTTGGGAGTAAATGTTGCAATGGGTTTAATTTCTAATGAAATAACTTAGCTTGGAATTCTAGTCCTGGTTTCTCAGCTTCCTTAAACTACTTTTTACTACTTTTTATTACAAAATGTGCATGTGTGTATATATGTTATTAATTAGCACTATGCCCACGGTTTATAAATCTACAATCCAGAGGTTGTTGTAGATAACATCTTTTTATACACTCCTGGTTTACCCTAGCTTCAGCTTTTATATTTAACATAGGATTGAAAAAATAAATCAACAGAGAAACTGTTAGAATTGTGTTTCCATTGCCATTATAACTCTTGCAGGATACAATTTTTATTTAATCTTCCTTCTTATTTTCTGAGTTATCTTCATGTAAATGAAACACATGCTGATCCTCCTCCATGAGAAAATGGGGGCAGAGGCTGCTTGAAAATTGCTCTGGATCAAATGCCTTTGATCTGTAACTTCAACAAGTGTTTTTGCTTTGTTAAGTCCTCACCATTCCCCAAATTTCAGGTAGTGGCAATTGGAAAAAAAATATGAAGAATCATGGCTTAATTAACTGAGAGAGAGCTTACATTTCCAATATAATAAAATTGGGACACCTCTCTGTTGTTTCCCAGAGCTGCACTAACACGAGACTCAGATATTTTGAAAGGTGATGCACGTTCAACGTGGTTCAAAGCCTTTCATTTTCTGCTGTAGTTTTTGTCTCATTTACGTTGTTCCTGCATACGTTTTTGTGTCTCATAATTCTGTGCTGAAATGTTCACTTTTCTTCCTAAGTTTTATTAAAAGTGCATCCTGGCTTCTGGATCATTGTGCACTGACATGTAGATTCCAGATGATTGTTGAATTGTAGATAGGCCTGTCACCTTTTCCTTTATTAATATTTACATAAAATAAAACCAAGGACTGGGATTTTATTTTCAAATATACCTTTATTCTTCCTGTTTAGTCTTGTTCCCCTCCATTGATAATAATGGAGGTTGCTTGGCCATATCAAACTCATAGCTTTGCAATTAACAATTCACACATGCCGCATGTTGTTATTGAGCCCATATTTGTTTGTGTAATGTGTTTGCATGAATTAAAAACTGTGCAGGCCAAAAGTAGAAATAAAAAGCATCAGAAGGTATTTGCATATGCAAGTGCAATTCCTTCTGAAGACATCTATGAATTTATGCATGAAAATGTAGTCAGAGTCTGAGTGGATCTACTTTGATGGGTTCTAAAATTGAACTCTGCAGGAAGTAAATAAGCACATATTTAAGGAGAGGAGGAACAGGAGATACAATCTGGCAAGCAGTACATTCAACTTGAAACTTAGCCACTACAGACAGGGTTAAAATAAATTTTACACTCAGTAATAACAATAATTTTTTTAAATGTCATGCATTTCCCATTTTATTTTCTTATTCATGAAATCAAAGAGCAGGATCATCTCCGTACTTATTAGCCTAGAGGTACATTAACAAGGATCATAGTGGGATCATCTCTTGCAGTATTCTTATTTAAAACCCAAGACACTGATCATAAAACAAACACACTTCTCACATACAACCAAGTTTTGCAAACACAGTTGGATGACTCTACAGATGCTCAGGGTGGAAAAGAATTGCCAGCCAGCAAAAGTGATGGGGGCCCAGAGTCAGACCTTGTCCAGTTACCCCAGCTGGCCCATTCAAGTATCAAATGCAAGAACCTGCCATCTCCCAGCAGGAGAAATGAGCCAGGTGTTCCCATGAGAAGTTTACGGAAGCTCGGTCAAATTGTGCCCATCTTTGCTTGCTTTCAACACAGAATCCTCCTCTGCCTTCTTCTATTGTGGCTTCTTCTCTTGAGTATGCAAATCACCTGTCTGGCCTCTATTATGCTGGATCCTCCTGGTGTGAAAGAAGAAAATTGCTGACCTTCGGTCTGTGGCCACTGGAGTAATTAGTAATTAGTAAATGACTAATCCTGCACTAAATAGCATCCTAGTGGTCTGAGAGCTAATGCACCTGACAAAAGTGAGCAGTGGTCTGATCCCTGGTCAGACCCAGCCCTAATCCAACCTGTGAAATAGATGCCACTTTGAATAATGAAGGTCGGCCAAGTTCCCAGGCAGTTTGTACAAGCTTGTCTTTTTTTTTGGACCCCGGAGTTAGGGTGAAGAGCAATGTGATATACAAGACATTCTCCTGGGGCTTAGGAGTCTAGAGTTGGACGTGAATTCTGCTTTTGCATGTGTATGTGCCTGGGACTCTGCTCTGCATTCTGTGTTTCATCAGGATTACTACATGGTTTTTAGGTATATTAAACAAACAACAATAATAACAATGACAAAGGAATAATGGCGAACAGGCGGGCGCGGTGGCTCACACCTGTAATCCCAGCACTTTGGGAGGCCGAGGTGGGCGGATCACGAGGTCAAGAGATGGAGACCATCCTGGCTAACACGGTGAAACGCTATCTCTACTAAAAATACAAAAAATTAGTCGGGCGCGGTGGCGGGCGCCTGTAGTCCCAGCTACTCAGCAGGCTGAGGCAGGGGAATGGCGTGAACCTGGGAGGCGGAGCTTGCAGTGAGCGGAGATCGCGCCACTGCACTCCAGCCTGGGCGACAGAGCGAGACTCCGTCTCAAAAAAAAAAAAAAAAGAAAAAGAAAAGAATAATGGCGAACATTTGTTGAGTAGTTTGTGTCAGGAGCCAATCTAAGCATTTTGCTTGCATTAACTCAGTTAATGCTCACAACAGCTTTGCGAGGTGGATACTATCACTCCCTTGTTTACTTATATTAGGAAACTGAGTCAGAGAGAGATTAAATAAGTCATCCAGGTTGAAAACATGGAAAGAGCCGGAGATAGGCTTCAAACCTAAGGGGCTGTATTCAAGACCTGTGTTTTAAACCAATGTGTTTCATCACGTCCCAAAAAAATAAGTAAACAAAACAAAAATATCTTTAAATCCTTAGTCAAAGGCTGGGAAGGATCTATGAAATTCACTTTCTAAGCCTTTTAAGAATCCATACCTTTAAATCTTTCTTAATGATACAGGAACTGTAGTTAACAGTATTGATTGAACATATAATGTTCACCACCAGCTCCCAGCCCTGCTGATCTAATTCCTGTTCTCATCCATTCACCTCCATCTCACAATCATTCCTGACTCTCCAGAAGCATTCCTGCCTACAATACCTCTCTACCAACCACCACTGTAGGAAAACGTTTCGACTGTAGGGATGTGTACTGGGCTGTCAGCACTGATTCTATGCCCTCCCTTATGGTCATCACCTTTTTGCACAAACTCTCAACCTGGAACACTAACAAAGAAAGGTGTCACTATCTAAATGATATTGCTCAGGTAAGTAGAACTGACTTGTTTCTGTGCTAACCAAGACCCAGTGGGCCAGAGAGTTCAGCCAGCCCTCTTATTCCTCAAAAAGTGCTTCTTTCCAGTTAGCAGTTCAAGTCTCTCGAGAGGGGGCCAAGATTGAATTCTTTCTCTGTACGTCAGGCTGGCTGTCTAGGTCAAGGTCGAAGAAAAAATTGGGGGAAGATTGAATTTTTGAAAGTATGCTTGCATCAGTTCTCTCAATCAGTTAAAGCAAAGAGATAAATCCTACCGGCTATTTGATGTGCTTTAAAAAGCATGTAAACAAAAATCAACACACATACACATTTTAGGCTAGGTTTGGTTTTGGTACTCCATAAACTAATTCTTGCTCCTATGATCTTTAAAATAATGTGGGCAATAACTTTTGCTCTGTATAATTTGGCATAATGTACATTTAAACAGTGTTAATGAGCTGAAAACTCATGAACCACTAGTAAGCTAGAGTATTACCTGCAATGATTCAATTAACTTATATAATAATTGTGGGAATACTTTGGAAATTGTAAATATTTCTTTCTATGCCTTTGTCTTAAAATAGCCATTTTTCCACTATACCTAAATAATAATTAAAAGGTTCTAGTTTGAAAACCTCAGCACTTTAATTTACCTACAAAGAATACCTTGTAGATGTTAGTAAAGTTCAAGAGTTTCTGTGGTCAGTATCTTGAAGGCTGAAATGTACCTTGAGAAGATTGCTTTCCATTTATTTTCCCACTTCCAGGTAGGACTTCTTTTCATAACTCAACTAAGAATAACACAATGCCTTCTAGTCTTTGGTTGTATTGTTTTTTCTTTTTTAAAAAATATCCTTAGAAAAAGAGAATCTACAACTTTTCAATGTTATCTTTTTGCTGGATAACTTGAATCCTTGTTGTTTTATATGGGAGGCATATGTGAAAAGAGTAATGAATGAAGACTCTGGAGTTCAACTTTGTCCATATCCCAGTGCTGATGGGTACCGCTAGTGTGATCTTGATCAAATTCTAGAACACAGACTGAGTCTCATTTTCTCCATTTGTAAAAGCTCTACCATATATAGGTATTGGGTTTATTTCTTACAATTGTGTATTTATTAGATCTGGACATTATCTTTCTTTTAATAAGTGCTAGTAGTTATCGTTACAGTTATTGTCACTTTAACCCTACTACCAGCAGAAGTGGCGATCACTTGCTCTCCGACCCTAATAATACTTTGGTGCAACAGAAATTTTTCTTTCCTCTTGATTTGTTTCCCATGACTTGCAAAAATTCTGACATTTTCAAACTCAGAACTTTTTTCCAGCTTGTTCATAGAGTGTGTCTGACTCTCTATCCACCATACATTTCTTTCCCAAAGATGAACATAACTCATACATTATTTTCCTATTTTTAGACAGGAATGAAAGATACTATCTAACAACTGTCAACTGATGCCAACACACTGTAAGAGAGTTGCTAGTCAGACAATTTTACAAGTCAAAAAAAAAAAAAATAGATTGGAAAAACTGCTCTAAGGTAGTGTCATAGGATACAAACACTTTTTTTAAGTGTGCATTTTATGGCATGTAAATCCATACATATTTCAGAAATGAGTTTAAGAGTAGATTTAATCCATATAAATGCTGGATAAAATTAATCCATTTTCGTCACTTTATGGGCAATAATTTGGAGTCTATGTCAGAGAGTCAATGTTTTGGATTTTCATCATTGATGCTTACTACCCTTCTAGGAATATGTCTATATTTTTTGATAACTTTAGCCATTTGGCAACTATCTTCATGTTTGCCCAACTGTTATCCTCCCAGTAATTATCTATTGTCAATTCTGTGTTCAACTTTATATTTAACTTTCTTTGAATTACCTTCCTTCTCCTGCTCTTTCTCAGTGGAAATTCCCCAGAGTTTCACCCTAATCCTATACTCTTCTTCTCCATAGCACTTTCTTTAGAACACTCTTATTCATATGACTTCAGTGGCCACTATTTCTGCTTCTGAAAACTTTTTCATTTACAAACAATAGTATCCCAGTTCAAATTAGCTTACTTGAAAGGGTAATGTTTTGGCAGACATCACCAGTAATCTAAGAAAGCATCTGCCCTCACACTTATCATCTCTCACAAGATTCTCATTCTCATATATTGGCTTTATTCTTTGGAGCGATCTCTTTGAAGATGTCTGCTGATTACCCCCACTCTCACATTTTCTCATTTGGTAACATCACTGGAAAGAGTCCCTTGTTTATATATATGGTTGGGGTTTATTTTGCTGTTTTCAGCAGAATATTCTCCAGGTAGATATTCAGGCTGGCCTGGCATGGGACACATGCTGATGATACCTATATCTACCATTTTACGGCTGTAGCTGGCCACATCTTGGATGTAGGTTTATCCTGTGCTTGGAGATAGCTTACAGTGAGTGCCTCCTAAACCTGATGGAATGAATTCCGCACAGGAAAGAAAGACTCTGATAGCTGCAGTAGACTGTAAACACTAACTGGCCTGATAACAAATGCTCCTAATGCTAGTGAGGCTGAAGTTTAAGGCTTCCTTTCTGTAGTCTATCTAAGCTGTATTGGTCCATTCTCACACTGCTAATAAAGACATACCTGAGACTGGGTAATTTATAAGGAAAAAGAGGTTTAATGGACTTACAGTTCCACATGGCTGGGAGGCCTCACAATCATGGTAGAAGGCAAAGGAGGAGCAAAGGCACATCTTACATGGCGGCAGGGAAGAGCACCTGTACAGAGGAACTGCCCTTCATAAAACCATCAAATCTCATGAGACTTATTCACTATCATGAGAACAGCATGGGAAAAACTTACCCCCATGATTCAATTACCTCCCACCAGGTCCCTCCCATCACACATGGGGATTATGGGAGCTACAATTCAAGATGAGATTTGAGTGGGGACACAGCCAAACCATATTATAAGCTTCACATCCACTTTGCTACTGGGCCTTGGAATATTTTATCTTTACATATCCAAGTGGGAAATTTAATTGTCTTTCCCTCAAAATTTGTTTCCGTTTTTCATTTCTCAGCTTTGGGGAATGGTATCACAGCCTTGCATTTTAGATAAAGTCTTCCAAGCCTCTTTTTTCTTGATCCTTTATATTGATGTTTACCACATCACACCTATTATTCCTGCTTCATTTATCTCAGTTTCAAGTTTCTCATTCCATGGGCAGCTTCCAATATTTCAACACTGGACAATTGCTTGAGCATTTCAATCGCCTCCTTCCCTAATTCTTTCCTCTGGCATGTTTTCCATAACATGGATAGTTTTGAGTTTTTAAAACACGGCCTTATTTTTCCCACTTCCCTCAAATTGATTCAAAAATATTTCAGGGGTTCCTAAAAGGCAACTGCAATTTGTGGGACACAACAATAAAAAAAGGTAAACATGGTTTCTAACCTCACAGAACCTGGCAGTTTTAAAATGGTAAGATATAACAGATATGTAACTAGGTACCTTATAAAAAACACTACAAAAGGGATAATATTGGATGGTTTTGGAGAGACCTCTAACCCAGATTTATGTCCGGAATGGCATCCCAGAAATTGTGGCATTCCTGCATACATTTGAGGGATGGGGAGGAGGTTGGACAATCAAAGAGGCAAGACAGTGTTCAGGCAAGAGTCATGGCATGTGCAAAGGCCCAGAGGTGACTACATTTTGTTGTTCCAAGGATGTCAAAGAAGTGTAGGTTGGATGAGCTAGAGTGGCAGAGAGAGACAGTCATGAAGACATTTCAGGGAGACAGTGCTGGTTTCAGCTTGTGGAGAGAGGAAAGATGGTCAGTTAGAGGTTGTGTCTTCATCTAAGCAAGGGAGCCTGGTGGCCTGAACTAGGATAGCAGAGATTGTTTGAGAAATGTTATTGAGATAAAAAGAGTGTTGGCTTTTTTGTTTGTTTGTTTGTTTTAAGGCAGAGCTTCACTCTTGTTGCCCAGGCTGGAGTGCAATGGTGCAATCTCTGCTCACAGCAATCTCCGCCTCCCAGGTTCAAGCGATTCTCCTGCCTCAGCCTCCCAAGTAGCTGGCATTACAGGGATGCGTCACCATGTCCGGCTAATTTTTTTTTTTTTTTTTTTTTTGTATTTTTTAGTAGAGACGGGGTTTCTCCATGTTGGTCAGGCTGTTCTCAAACTCCTGATCTTAGGTGATCCACCCGCCTCGGGCTTCCAAAGTGCTGGGATTACAGGCATGAGCCACCGCACCTGGCCCCTGATTGTTGGCTTTTTAGGATACCTTAAAAGTGGAGGCAGATATACTGTTCTGAGACTCCTGGGCATTGACTGCTTTTTTCTCTTGGAAAGAGAATATTGCCTTTCTGATGCTGAGTTTACTTAAAGAGCCAGGAAAGGTCAACGCTTGCAAATAACCCCTTAAGTGGAAGTACATAGATTGTTAGTTCAGGTTCTTCTGGAATGTTGGACATAAACCTAAGTATAAAAAATGTAGTGTTGCAACAAAAATTTGGATTTTTTTTTAAAATTTGTTAGATTCCTGCCTATGCAAAGGGTAGCACCAGCTACAGAGCACTTCATACGGATCCCAGGCAAGGAAAAAATAGAGAAGAGATTATGCTGCATCTGCCCCTTCTCTGTGTGGACCATGATACCATTGTTTGTTCTCTATCATGGACTAAATAAATCAGAGACTCTAAGTAGATGTGAGTTCTGTGTGTGTGTGTGTGTGTGTGTGTGTGTTCAACTGAGTGTGTGTTTTATCCCTGCCAATGGTAACTTTATTTGCAAAGCTGAGTACGTTTGGAAGATAGAAACAATACTTTCTTGCAACTGATGGGGTAAGCAGGCTAAGCAAAAAAAGAAAAGTCAAGGACATCCCTGAAGTTTCTGGTTATGGCAACTGACAAGATGTTACCATCAATCCCCAGGGCTTGAGACAGAGGATGGCCTGGTTTGTGGGTTAGATGGGATAGGTAACTGTCAACCTTTTGAATTGGAGGTATCCTGTAGGCTCTCCATGTGCAGATGTCTAATAGGCTGTGGCTGTCCAGTCTTGAAATTCTGGAGAGAGGCTTGAGCTGGATAAAGATTTAGCAGTTGACAGCTAATAATTTCATGGGACTTGGTATGATCATCTGAGAAAAAAATGTACAAGGAAGAGAAATAAGAAGTTCACATGACAGTGCAGGTACTCAAGGAATAGGAAGGGGAAGAAAATCCTGTGAAACAAGTGGGGGAAAAAAAAGAACACCTTACTTTCCTTTACATGTGCTATTCACTCAGTGCAAACTTGACCTGTCATTCCACAGGGCGAGTTTTATTCCCCATCCCACCACTCAGAGTTGACCTCCTTTATGTCCCCTAAATCAGAGGCCACAAAATTAATGTACATAGGACATATTCGGCCCCTAGATAGGTTTTATTTGGCCTATGGATTTCTTTAGAATTTTGAATCAAGTGCCAGTCTATTCACATTTCAGTTTGCCACAGGCCCCGTTTCTGCCTTCTGTCTTACACCAGTCCTATTCCTCTCAGGCCTTTATTTTATATGCCAAACCTCTGAAAGCTCTCACAATTGCAAAAATATCACGGATCTTCCTATGTCTATTTTTTTCTTGTGGAATACCTCTCTGCCTATTGCAAATCTATTCATCCCACAGGGTGTGACCTGTGGTTCACGTCTTTGGTGAAGCTTCCTGCCCTCTGAATTTTTATAGCCCTTAATGGGTTGTTATTGTTGTTATTATTCTCTTGATGAGTGACTCAGCATACATAGCACATGGATTCTATGACTCCTATGAATAGGGAAATAAACAAAGGGCTCTGCAGTTTTGTGCTCTGACTCATAGATGCAACTACCAGGGAATTTGCTCTTTTTAGTGGCTTGTTTCCTGTTCTAATGAGAAAAATGGAAAGCACAGCTCAGAAACAGACTCTACTTAGAAAATGTGGATGGTATGTCTGTCCAGCATGACAATGTCAAATCTCACATTTTGAAATGCCAACTTACAACTTTTCTGCCATTTACTCTGACACTAGCATGTTGAGTTGCACTAACAGTTCCTTTTTCTGATTATTGGTGATGCAATATTATCAGCTTCTCTTGGCTGGTGCCACATGTTGCAGTTAAGTCTCTGCAGCTGTCTACTCTGCGGTATGTATAGGAGGGCTTTGGTGCATATGTGATCTGTGCAGGGATGCCTTTCTGACCAGAACCTTTGGGAAAACTGCACAGTGAGAGACGGAAGAATTGCCAGGATCAGCCTTACCATGCTTTACAATCTGTGTCCAGGAGTGGCACTGCCCCACCCACTGATGAATCATCACACTGATATTATCAAAGGAGACATTACATTTTCAATGTCATGTTTTAGGTTTATAATTTAATTTTCAGCTCTGGCAATTCCAGAAGCATCCCTAGGGACATATGAAGAGGAAGGGGCTAGCGTGTACTCGAAATGAATACATGTTCATTTCTTGAGCACCTTAATTGGCATGCACATCTCACAAGCTCCCTTTTTCTCTGCTGCAGCCAAACTCTCTCACACCACCAAGTTACTCAATATTCCTCCTGCACTGACTGCCTTCCTTTCCACTCAACCTCAAGTCAGATCTACTTTAGTAATAAATCTCTGCTGGGAATGATCAGAACAAATACTGAGTGTGCACCACAATATTAAAAATAAGTGTAATATAGACTTATTTAATAAGGTCCAACAGACTTTTATAACATTTGGAATATTTTACCAAAGGTACTATCAGCATTATGTTTAATGCATTTTCTCCAAGACAGAAAAATCTTTTCAAGAATGAGGGGGGAAAAGAAAAAAAACACAAAACACAGAGAAAAGTCAGATGGGCTCTGATGCATTCTCACTCAACTAAATCTGTGATTCTCCTTCCTTTCCCAGATCTTTCTCTTCGGCCAGACCCACAAAATGTGAAGCCTCTTTGTGTTCACCCTGATTTATGAATAGTCGGCACTGGGCAATTGCGGTCCCAGTGGGATACATTTCAGTTTAAAAATAGTCTGAAGCACTTTCTTTCAAATTCCCACATGTCCACTGCCACCTCATAATATGTGCTTCTCCTTCTGTCCTTGTGCAGTTAAAGTCGGATCCATGTACGGGGAATGAAAGCACTGAATTTGTTTGTAGCACTTTGAACCAAAATGGTGAATTTATTTAGAGAGTAGTTCCAGCGAGTTAAGTTAGTTTCAATGGACATATTGGCTGCAACTGGAGCATTGATGGAAGGGAGGCATACTACTTTAATGTCCTCAAAAAGAAAAAAAGAAAGAAAGAAAATAAATAAATAAAATCCAGTCAACTGCAGGATAAGTATCCATAGGCCAAACAAATCCCTCTCAAAATGACTGCAAGTTCAGGTGACACCAACAGCTGTCAAAAGACCCCTGTTTGCCTGGCGGCAGCTTTGGGTTCAAATTCTTCCTAGTTTACAGTGACATTTCATTTAATGCTTGCACTCTGACTCCATTTGTCTGCCCTGCAAAAGCTCTGCAAAGAGCTGACCCAGTTAACACTTTCTGTTTCACAAACCCAGAGACTGAACAGCAGGGAGGCTACAGCAAAGTGCTGAGTTGTCCTAGCTGAGCAGTAAGGGGACAATGACTGTGGCCACAGTCCATGTCATTTTTGTTTCTAGACCAGTGGTGACTCATTGGACTCTCCTGGGCAGTTCTGAAAAGTCTGCATGTCCTAGTCTCACCCAAGACCAATTAAATCCCAATCTGTGGCAGGGAGGACCCAGGCATCAGCATTTTTTAAAACCAAATCTTTATATAAATAAAATGTCTCAAGGGATTTGAGTGCAAAAGGACATACTCTATAGAATATAATATTTCTTTGGTAACTGATGACATTTCAAGCTTATAGGACCTCATACTTAGCATAGTGACTTAGAATCTCACTTTTCACTCAGAAGCTCATAATAGAGTCTTTTGATTCTTCAGGGGTTTAGGTTAATAAATGCAATATAACCGAAGCTCATTATGTAGTGTTTCTAAACCACTATCGAGTAATCATTTGCTGGTGTATTAGGCATTGCAAGCCCTTGGTGCCATAGTCCATCTCCTTGTTTCTGAGTCAGAAGAAGCAGGTGGACTGATTCTTCTGGCACCCCTGCTTCTCAGCCCACATTGTGTCAAACATTAAAAGTGAGGTTTTAATTTGAGTACCTGGCTTGGAATGTAACAGGTAACAGTTGATTATGTTAATTGATCCAACGTCTTCAAAGTCAAAGCAGTAATGATGAATCTGGACCTACTATTGGAAGAAAATGATCAAGTTACATTTATGTTGAAAGATGAAGTCAGTAGGGAAAGATTCTGTTAAAATAGTGGGTTTCATGCGCATCCATGTGAAGAGACCACCAAACAGGCTTTGTGTGAGTAACAAGGCTGTTTATTTCACCTGGGTGCAGGCGGGCTGAGTCTGAAAAGAGAGTCAGCAAAGGGAGATAGGGGTGGGGCCATTTTATAAGATTTGGGTAGGTAAAGGAAAATTACAGTCAAAGGGGGGTTGTTCTCTGGTGGGCTGGAGTGGGGGTCACAGGGTGTTCAGTAGGGGAGCTTTTGAGCCAGGATGAGCCAGGAGAAGGAATTTCACAAGATAATGTCATCAGTTAAGGCAGGAACAGGCCATTTTCATTTCTTTTGTGGTGGAATGTCATCAGTTAAGGCAGGAACCGGCCATCTGGATGTGTACGTGCAGGTCACAGGGGATATGATGGCTTAGCTTGGGCTCAGAGGCCTGACATTCCTGTCTTCTTATATTAATAAGAAAAATAAAATGAAATAGTGGTAAAATGTTGGGGAAAATTTTTGGGGGTGGGATGGAGAGATAATGGGCGACGTTTCTCAGGGCTGCCTCGAGCGGGATTGGGGCGGCGTGGGAACCTAGAGTGGGAGAGATTAAGCTGAAGGAAGATTTTGTGGTAAGGGGTGATATTGTGGGGTTGTTAGAAGAAACATTTGTCATTTAGAATTATTGGTGATGGCCTGGATATGGTTTTGTATGAATTGAAAAACTAAATGGGGCCGGGTGCGGTGGCTCACGCCTGTAATCCCAGCACTTCGGGAGGCCGAGGGGGGCGGATCACGAGGTCAGGAGATTGAGACCATCCTGGCTAACACGGTGAAACCCCTTCTTTACTAAAAATACAAAAAATTAGCCGGGCGAGGTGGCGGGCGCCTGAAGTCCCAGCTACTCGGGAGGCTGAGGCAGGAGAATGGCGTAAACCCCAGGGGGCGGAGCCTGCAGTGAGCCGAGATCGTGCCACTGCACTCCAGCCTGGGCGACAGCGAGACTCCGTCTCAAAAAAACAAACAAACAAACAAAAAACCCAAAAACTAAATGGAATAAGAGAAGGAGAAAAACAGGTATTAAAGGTCTAAGAATTGGGAGGACCCAGGGCATCTAATTAGAGAGTGCCTAAGGAGATTCAGCATAGTCCTGCCAGCAAAGATTATTTATTTACTTTAAGAGTTAAGAGTGGCAGTTTGGGGATAGCACGAGGAGGTATCAGCTGTGATGGCTTGGAGAAACAGTGTAAACTGGCAGTGTAAACAAGAGCAGGGCATGTATGAGTAGTTGAGAACGGTGAATAGGAGTGTGACTAGACAGAAGATAGTAGGGATGACAAGTTTTTGGGGGCACAGTCCGAGTTGGTCTGGTGTCTGGACTGAGACTGGGGCTTAATAAAAAGGAGCGTCCATACAGGAGCTCAAATGGGCTGTACCCTGTAGCATTCCGAGGACAGGCCTGACTTCTGAGAAGGGAAAGTGGTAAAAGTATTGTCCAGTCCTTTTTAAGTTGGTGGCTGAGCCTGGTGAGGTGTGTTTTTAAAGGACCTTTAGTCCGTTCTACCTTTCCTGAAGACTGAGGACTGTAAGGGATATAAAGGTTTCACCGAATACCAAGAGCCTGAAAAACTGCTTGGCTGATTTGACTAATAAAGGCTGGTCTGTTAACAGACTGTATAGAGGTGGGAAGGCTAAACTGAGGAATTATGTCTGACAGAAGGAAAGAAATGACTGCAGTGGCCTTCTCAGACCCTGTAGGAAAGGCCTCTACCTATCCAGTGAAAGTGTCTACCCAGACTAAGAGGTATTTTAGTTATCTGACTGGGGACATGCTGATTAAAGCTAATTTGCCAGTCCTGGGTGGGGGCAAATCCTCGAGCTTGATGTGTGTAGGGAAGGGAGGGGGCCTGAATAATCCTTGAGAAGTAGTAGAACAGCAGATGGAACACTGAGAAGTTATTTCCTTGAGGATAGATTTCCACGATGGAAAGGAAATGAGAGGTTTTAAGAGGCAGGCTAGTGGCCTGTACTATAGCATAGCCTGCCTTTGCTGGTGTGTGGCGATTAGGCCTGGTGGAACTGCCATCAATAAACTAAGTGTGATCAGGGTGAGGAACAGGAAAGAAGGAAATATGGGGAAATGGGGTGAACGTCAGGTGGATCAGAGAGATGCAGTCATGAGGGTCAGGTGTGGTATCTGGAATAATGTGGGAGGCTGGATTGAAGTCCGGGCCAGGAACAATGGTAATTATGGGAGACTCAACAAAGAGTGAGTACAGCTGAAGGAGCCAGGGAGCAGAAAGTATATGTGTCAGGTGGGAGGAAGAAAAGATTTTGGAAGTTACGAGAAATGTAGAGAGTGAGTTGAGCATAGTTTGTGATTTTTAGGGCCTTTAAAAGTATTAAAGCAGCAGCAGCTGCTGCACGCAGACATGAGGGCTAGGCTAAAACAGTAAGGTCAAGTTGTTTGGACAGAAAGGCTATCGGGTGCGGTCCTGGCTCTTGTGTAAGGATTCTGACCACACTAACCATGCCTAGGAAGGAAAGGAGTTGTTGTTTTGTAAGGGATTGAGGTTTGGGAGATTAGTCGGACATGATCAGCAGGGAGAGCACGTGTGTTTTTATGAGAATTATGCCGAGATGGGTAACAGATGAGGATGAAATTTGGGCTTGACTGAAGTAAAGGGGACTGTCTGTGAAGCCTTGCGGCAGTACAGCCCAGGTAATTTGCTGAGCCTAATGGGTGTCAGGGTCAGTCCAAGTGAAAGCGAAGAGAGGCTGGGATGAAGATCCAGAACAGAATAATGCGTTGTAGAGGGAGGTATTGAGGATAGGAGAGTATATGAGTTTAGCACCATGGGGTGGATAGGCAAAACAATTTGGTTGATAAGGCACAGATCCTGAACTAACCTGTAAGTCTTGTCTGGTTTTAGGACAGGTAAAATGGGGGAATTGTAATGAGAGTTTATAGGCTTTAAAAAGCCATGATGTAACAGGCGAGTGATAACAGGCTCTAATCCTTTTAAAGCGTGCTGTGGGATGGGATATTGGCATGGAGGGGGGTAAGAGTGATTAGGTTTTAATGGGATGGTAAGGGGTGCATGATTGGTCGATAAGGAAGGAGTAGAGGTGTCTTATACTTGTGGGTTAAGGTGGGGAGATACAAGGGGAGGATATGAAGGAGGCTTTGAACTGAGGGAAAAGGCAGCAATGAGGTGTGGCTGTAGCCCAGGAATAGTCAGGGAAGCCCATAACTTAGTTAAAGTGTCTCGGCCTAATAAGGGAACTGGGCAGGTGGAGATAACTAAAAAGGAGTGCTTAAAAGAGTATTATCTAAGTTGGCCCCAGAATTGGGGAGTTTTAAGAGGTTTAGAAGCCTGGCCGTCAATACCTACAACAGTTATGGAGGCAAGGGAACAGCCCTTGAAAAGAAGGTAATGTGGAGTGGGTAGCCTCCTTATTGATTAAGAAGGGGACGGACTTACTTTCCACTGTGAGAGTTACCCGAAGCTCAGCATCCGTGATGGCCTAGGGGGCTTCCGAGGTGATCGGGCAGCGTCAGTCTTCAGCCGCTAAGCCGAGAAGATCTGGGAAGGAGTCAGAAAGCCTTGGGCCAGAGTTCCAGGGGCTCTGGGAGTGGATGCCAGGTGAGTTGAACAGTCCGATTTTTCAGTGGGGTCCCACACAGATGGGACATGGCTTAGGAGGAATCCTGGGCTGCGGGCATTCCTTGGCCTGGTGGCCAGATTTCTGGCACTTGTAGCAAGCTCCTGGGGGAGGCAGTTCTGGAGGAATGCCTGGCCACTGTGGTTTAGGCATTTGGAAGTTCTTGTGTGCTGGAGATGTGGCTGGGGTTTGTCTCACAGTGGAGGCAAGGAATTGCAACTCAGAAATATGTTGCCACTTGGCTGCCTCTACTCTATTATTGTACACCTTGAAGATGAGGTTAAGTAAGTCCTGTTGTGGGGTTGGAGGGCTGGAATTTAATTTTTGGAGTTTTATTTAATGTTGGGAGCAGATTGGATAATAAAATGTATATTGAGCATAAGACGGCCTTTTGACCTTTTAGGGTCTAGGGCTGTAAAGCGTCTCAGGGTTGCTGCCAAACGAGCCATGAACTGGGCTGGATTTTTATATTTGATGAAAAAGAGCCTAAACGCTATCTGATTTGGGATAAGGAAAAAGGAGCATTAACCTTGACTATGCCTTTAGCTCCAGCCACCTTTTTAAGAGTAAATTGCTGGGCAGGTGGGGGAGGGCTAGTCACAGAACAAAACTGTAAGCCGGACCGGGTGTGAGGAGGGGAGGTGATAAAAGGATTATAGGGTGGAGGAGTGGAGGCTGAGGAAGAATTGGGACCTAGCTCGGCCTGGCAAAGAGGAGAGAGATCAGATGGGTCTGTAGAAAAGGAATATTAGAAAGACTCACGACGCTTGGGGTTGGGACTGAGGGGACAGGTGGGAGGGAAAGAAGGAAGATTTGGGACAAGTTGCATTGGGAACAGAGACTATGGAGGGACTGATGTGTAAAAGAATGCCTGGACATCAGGCACCTCAGACCGTTTGCCTATTTTGTGACAAGAATTACTTAGATCTTGTAGGATGGAAAAATGGAAAGTGCCATTTTCTGGCTATTTGGAACTACTGTCGAGTTTATATTGGGGTCAAGTGGCATTATAGAAGAAAATAAGGCATTTAGGTTTTAGGTCAGGTGTGAGTTGAAGAGGTTTTAGGTTTTTAAGAACACAGGCTAAGGGAGAAGAAGGAGGAATGGAGGGTGGAAGGTTGCTCATAGTGAAGGAGGCAAGCCCAGAGAAAAGAGAGAGTAGAGACACAGAGGAAAGGGGTTTGGGGGTTCTTACCCTCCAGAAAAGGAGGAAAGGGGTCAGGGTGGGGAAATAAGGGGTTGGGGTGCAGAGATAAGAGGTCGGGGCATGGAAATAAGGGATCAGGGTGCAGAGATAAGAGGTCGGGGCGTGGAAATAAGGGATGGGGCACAGAGATAAGAGGTCAGGGCGTGGAAAAGGATCAGGGTGCAGAGATAAGGGGTCAGGGCATGGAAATAAGGGACTGGGGGGTTCTTGCACCCTAGAAAAGTGGTACTTGCCACTAAGGGTGAAGGAGAAGGGGTTGGGGGGTTCTTACTGCCCAGAAAAGCGGAGAAGGGGTATTGACATGGAGAGAAGGGGTTGTGGTTCTTGCCCCTCCCCCAGAAAAGCGGGACTTGCCGCTAAGGGTGAAGGACCAAGGCAGGCATCCCTGCATGGTCAGACACCTCTGAAACATGGGTAAATAATCAGAGAGGTGTCCCTGCAGTGATTAAACACCAAGGGAAGGCTGCCTTCCCGAGTCCGTGAGCAGTGCTGGAGTTTTGGGTCCATGGATAAAACGTGTCTCCTTTGTCTCTACCAGAAAATGAAAGGAATTGAAATTAAGAGAAGGGAGAGATTGAAGGGTGGTGCCAAAATTGAAAGGAGAAGATGGTTGACGGTTAGTGAGAGAGGTTGGAGAAGAGAGTAAGAAGAGGCCGCTTACCCGATTTAAAATTGGTGAGATGTTCCTTGGGCTGGTGGGTCTGAGGACCTGAGGTCGTAGGTAGATCTTTTTCACGGAGCAAAGAGCAGGAGGACAGGGGATTGATCTCCCAAGGGAGGTCCCCCGATCCCAGTCACTGCACCAAATTTCATGGGCGTCTGTGTGAAGAGACCACCAAACAGGCTTTGTGTGAGCAACAAGGCTGTTTATTTCGCCTGGGTGCAGGCGGGCTGAGTCTGAAAAGAGAGTCAGCAAAGGGAGGGGTGAGGCCGTTTTATAAGATTTGGTTAGGTAAAGGAAAATTACAGTCAAAGGGGGGCTGTTCTCTGGCGGGCTGGAGTGGGGGTCACAAGGTGCTCAGTAGGGGAGCTTTTGAGCCAGGATGAGCCAGGAGAAGGAATTTCACAAGATAATGTCATCAGTTAAGGCAGGAACAGGCCATTTTCATTTCTTTTGTGGTGGAATGTCATCATTTAAGGCAGGAACCAGCCATCTGGATGTGTACCTGCAGGTCACAGGGGATATGATGGCTTAGCTTGGGCTCAGAGGCCTGACAGTGGGTCTGTATCTCCTTTTCAATGTGAATATGTATCGAGACTATGAATAGCTAAGTAAAGGTGAAAAGTCCCATACTCACAAGGACCAGGCAGGTAAGATAAACGGGGGAAATAGGCCAGGTTGTCAACTATGCGTCATGGTGGGGACTGTTCTGATTTGAAGTCTGTATGGCCAGGCAGTGTCTCTCAGGGCTGGCAGGTTGGTGCTTCCAGGGAATTCAGGTGTAGAGTTGCTAGATCTCCCAGTTCCTCAAGAAAATTGAGCAATCTGGATTTATTTTTATATAAAATCCCCAGATTTAAAATGGTTCTGTAATGGTCACTTGTGGAACAGTTTAAGTAGGCTTTTGGCACAACATCCTGGCTTCAGATTTTTCTGACAATAATGTGCTAAATGCCCTTAAGGACCAGGACAATTACACATACGCAACCCATGAAGTGCAGAAAGTTAGCAGCTGTGGGACTTCCTTGAATGATGGGTTCAGAAGCCAGAAGATAAGAAGCTGATGATAAATGCTTCTTCCCCTCATCCTGAGATGCACAGCCTAAGGCTCCTGGGAAGGTCCAGCACCATCATGATTAGGCACCCACAACGGCAGTGGCTAACTGTATAACTCTTCCTTGTGTTGGCTTTCCCTTTCCTTGTCTCTGCCACTGTTCCTTACTCTTGCTCTTCTGAATCGCTTCCCCAGTAAACTACTTGTTCACAGCCTCAGTCTCAGCCTCTCCTTTCAATACAAATTGGGTTAAGACGTTTGGCAGCTAATTCATTTTTAAAAGTCACTGTGTAGAACAAAACAAGACTATCTATAGGGCAGATGTGTAGTGCAGGACTTCTTGGGAAATGGTAGATTTAAAAAGAAGGCATTGAGCTTGAGTTACAGACGTGATTTGGTACTTAGGGAATATTTGTAACTTATTTTGTTTTCCATAAGAAACTGTGTGATTTTTTTTCTTTGCTTTTTGGATTGTTTGTTTGTTTTTTTTAAAGAATTTTAGTAAACCTTTCATTTTAGGATAGTTTTGGATTTACATGACAGTTGCAAAAATATTATGGAGTATCCTGGTTGAATTTTTTTGTTGCTGTTATTGTTTTGAGTACATGGGAGTTTTCTAAACACATGCTTAGCAAACCTGATACTGTTTTTCCCTCTTCAGAGCTGTCAGTTCAGATTTCAGAAAGTGCAGAATAGGAAGTTATAAACATACCCTGTAAATTCCTTGAAAGACAGTGCCTCACTCATCTTTCTATCTCCCTTAGAACCAGCCACACTGCCATGTACGTGACATTTAATAAATAGTTGTTGAACAGGGGATCCTATCATACATGAGCACGGAGAGGGATCATAGCCAGTCTGAAGGCCCTTCCCTGCACTATCCCTGACCACCATACCTCTTTTCCTCCTCTCCAAAAGGCAACCTTTCCCCCTGTGCGATTTCTGTCCTACCAGGGTAGATTGGGAAGGACACTGGATATTGGAAGGCAAGGTTTTTCGTTCAGGTTTGCCTGAATCTCCCACTCACTCATGTATGATTAAGTGATCTTTGTTGCCAAACAAAGCCAGAGCTGCAGCTTTGCCGTCTGGACACTGTGAGAGCTTTCTAGGACATACCTGTGCACTGCATGTCACAGTGTATTTTTAGCCAATCCCTGAGTGAAAGCTGACAAGCATTTTGTTTCTCTTCTAGATCCTATAAGCACCCACCTTGCATATTTACTCAGTGGCTAACGAAAACAGTAATAATAACACATGCTATAGTTTCAGCCTCAGATTTTAGAACATCTTTACAAGGTCTTTTTTATCAACCCTTCTCAGGAAACTCAGACAGCTTGCTTAAAAAACCAGGAAATATAGAAACAATATCTGTGAGAACAAGTTACTTTTGTTCAATCTCAGTTTACATCTCAAGAGGATGATTATTCGTAGAACTTTAAATGATGTGGTAACAAATACTGTAAGCTATTTGTTTTCCGTCCTTCACAGAATTGAAAGCATTCAGCATTCTATGGCAGGGATTCGGCACATTTTATTCATGGACTATGTCAGGGATGAAATGAACAGAAGGCATCTTATTTCATAGAGGTTTTGTTTTGTTAATGATAACAATAATGCCCTGCATTGAGTACGTCATTGGGTGCCAGGGATCCTCCAGTGCACCTCACAAGTATCCATTCAATAATATCCCCATTTTAAAAATGGAATAACTGAGGTTGAGAGATTATGATCAGCAGAGCTAAGGGGACAATGGGATTTCATGGAGGATGTTTAGTTCCAGAGCAATATAATCTAATTTACATTACTGAAGAAGTCGCTGGCTTCTCAGTGGGAAACAAATGCAAAAATGGTGAGAGTGGAAACAGGGACAACAAAAGCTACCCAGGGTTGCTTAAGGGGAACCAGCATCCCAATATCTAGAAGAGGTGTTGGTGGGTCTGACAGAAGTTTGGAGACTCGGAGTTGTTCAAACGCTAAAGGCAGTAGCCTGCTCCTTATATTCGATTCGGTAAGAATTATAGATATGAGCAATGGTTATTTTGTGGAGCACAATGAAAGCACGTTTCAATCAGATCGTGGCCCTTTTCCGTAAGTCTTGCTTTCTGGAGCAGAGCAGTGGGTCCGGCACTGTTGTACTTTATCTCAAACCAGATGGTCTTCTCTAGCTTCTATCAGCTTGCTTGAGACACACAGTAAGTACTGGCTTCTTGCTCCTCAGTCATCCTTAGGGGACGATGATTTGTTTCTTGGCTTTTGAAAGGTGATTTAATTCAGGCGTATCAGAGCCCCTTTTCTGTAAGGGGAAAGAATCTTAAAAAAAAAAACAACAACTAGAAAATCGTCTGTTGTCCACAAACCCACACATCCCTGGTTGTACGGAACATCACAGCTTCTTGTTCACAGGCAGCTTTAACAGATAGATGCGGGGATGCCAGCTAAGCCAAGTGATAAGAAAACAAAACAAAACAGTGGATAAGGGCTCATCATTAAAATCAACTATTCGTATCATTTATATAGTCCCCACACCAATTATTCTGGGAACTGTGTCTTTCTGGAACTTTCTGTCACCATCATTCGTTTTCCCAATTCTGTAACACCATAATACCCTCTTTCTCTAACACAGATACAGAAGACTTGTAGCAATAATGTTAATAACTGAATAATATTTACTGAATATTAACTGTATGCCTCACTATTCCCTGTAAAGTTGGTACATGAAAATCATCACTCTGCTAAGGACAACCAAGGCCTAGAGAGGTTAGTTACTTGACCAAGTGCAGGTAACTTGTATGAAAGGGCTGGAAAGAGAATCAAACCCAAGCTATTGCACTCCAGTGGCTGGTGATCTTAGGTGCAAGAAAGTCTGTTGACTGACTATGTGAAAACCATACTCCCCGCAACACTGGCCAGAGGGAAGAAATCAAATCCGTGTGTTGAGATGGTCTGGACAGGCAGGCTGCTGGAAGGCAGAGTATCATTACAGCTATTAAGACAATGCAGAGGGCTATTTTGGTGCTCAGATCTGTGCAGCCAGATGGAAATTGTAGTTCAAGCTTAGTGTTGTCAGACAGCAGAGGCTGTGGGCAAAGGGGAAGGCACGGGTGAGCGATTTTTGACTGTTTATCTCTAATGTGTGTGGCCAGTGTCACTCCCATCTCTGATGTCTGTGATTTATTCTATTATACTGTCAGGATTAAAACACCTTAGCAGGAGAAAAATAAAGGGAGGGATACAAATGGTGTGTCATTGATGTGACAGATGCTATTTCTCTGGAAACCATAGAGGATGAGGGTATGGAAACTCTCAAAAATGCCACGACCACCGAATATCAGAACCGAACAAACCTTTAGGGACCATCTGTTTCAAGCCACTCATTTGACAGATGAGGAAACTAAGACTCAGGGAGCTTAGGTGGTGATCAAAGTAACATAAGCTCCTAAATTTAGAGCAAGAACCCTAACTCCCACCGCCCAGTTCAGTATTCATTCAGCAACATCACCTGCTGGTGAGGTCCATTGTTCCTTCCCCTAAATTCAGAGTTGAGATTCACATTAAGTAAAAAAAGAAAAATCTGTTTTTATTTTAGCAAGAGTAAAGAAAAGTAGAAAGCACGAGCCGGAAATTCTCTCCTTTGCTCTCCAGTATCCATACAATGTTAACACTGGGACTGTGGTCCTTGGCTCTCTTTGCTGTTGCTATCTTTTGTGGCTAGCTCCTTTCCCTTCTCTGAACAAAAGGAGACCCTAGTCACCTCCTCACCCTTGTTAAGTGATGGGGTGGGCCATTCTCTGCCTGGTGCAGCTTTCAGCTCCTTACTGCGTCCTCACCCATCCTTGCCTAGACCTCTTCATCCGCTGTCTCTCTCCTGCTGTTTCCTGTGTGAATAGAGAGAAAGGATCAGAGTAAGTCAAAGTCCTGGCCTGCCAAGGAACCCAGACACCCGTCTCTCCACCTCTTGCCTCCTTCCTCACTCATTCCTCTGCACTAATCTTTCAGCAACTCAGATTTTCTGAAACACTTAAAATCAGTAGAAAAGCACAGAATTTGAAGCAGGATGACCTAACTTTAAGCCTAATCCTGATCACGGTGAGCCATGCAACATGGGACAAGTCTCAGACAAGTCTCTGTGGGCCAGAGTCATCTTCTGTACAATTGGTATCCTAGACAAAGTTCCTACACCCAGTATTATTCTAGGGGTGAAGTTCATTGATGACAAAATACGTTGTAAAGAGTGTTTATTAGCACCAAATTTTTACTGTGGGTGAAATGCCTAAATTACTTTGTAACTCCTCAGCTCTATTAGAAAATCGTCTTGTGCTCAGACATGATTATGCACTGACAGGGACCTCCTGTGAGATGTGCTGTCTCAGCCCAGGAGACTGAATCCAGCAGCCTCCAAGAGTGCTGTGTTCCCCTCAGGCCGCACTGCCCAGCAGAGACAGCCTGTGTTCACCCAGAAAGAGGGCCAACATCTTTCCAGCTGTGAATTCTGCTTATCACTTGGCTGGATGCAGCATTGCTTGTGGCCCAAATCTCACCATGTTCCTCATATAAATATGCTGTCGGGCTCTGCTCGTGGTGTTCTCTCTCTAAGAAATGAAGTCTGCCAAGGATTAAGCTTAGAATTGAGACCACAGTGTTTCCATTTCTCTAGTTTCTAACGTGAAGACACACATACAAAACTACCACGTTGGAGACGAACAAAGGGAAACCATTTTGGGGGTGAAGGTTAGGGAGGGCATTCCTGCTCAGAGCTCAGAATCATCAACGCCCAACCTTGACACTTAATAAAAGTATCACTAGAATTGCCTGGAGTTGTGAATTACCTAATTTTGTAGGGACTTCAATCTCTATCTATATTGTGTGTGTTTGGTGGGGTGGGTGGGGGGGAGGTTTAAATGATAAAAAATCCAAAACAAAAAACAAATCACAAATCACCTTCCTATAGAATGATCCTTGTCTTCTCTAGGAAGTCTCCTATTTTGTATCCCTACACTGAAGCAGGTAAGTTTGCTTTGAATATGATACCAGAAAGAAGAATGGAAAGAACAAAGATGGCCGCTCTCCCTTTCTCTGACCCCACTGGGTTGATACTGCAACGTGGTCCCTGATTTACAATTCTCTACTTTACTATGATGCAAAAGCGATATGCATTCAGCACACTTCTGACTTAGGATGGGATTAAGTCCAGATAAACTTATTGTACATTGAGAATATCGTAAGTCGAAAATGCACTTTTGACTGAACATATTTTCAACGTATGATGGGTTTATTCGTTAAGCCAAGGAACATCTATAGAATAGACGCAATCTCTCCCAAAGCTCAAACCAAGATGAACCCCTCAGAAAAACGAATGTCTGCAAACAGCTGGAAAAACCTCTGCTATGTGCTTTATCCTCACCCCTTTCAAACCTTAGGGCTATGGAAAGGCTTTAGAACCTCAAAACCAGGCTATGACTATAAGCCGCAGGAGATCACTCTTGTCAAAAAACACTTAAGGTTCATTTTGTCCCTAGTTTTGTTTGGGAGCTGGGGATACAGATGCTAAGAAGGTAGTCCATGCTCTCAGGAAACCCACAAGCTACTCCAGGAGAGGCTAAAAGAGTCTTATTATGCCAATACCATAGAGAAATGACCTGGTAGACAAAAGCACGGTATTATGGGAGGAGAAGCCAAGGCTTCCCGGAGACCCTTGTAGGAGAGATTTTGTGCTGCGAGTCAGAGTTGAGTTTGCTGAAGGTTTCCTGAGATCCAGTTAGGTTTGCTCTAGTGTGAACTAGATTACTAAAATAGACAGAGAAAATAGCATCCTGATATTTAAATATATGATTACCCTTTCTTTATAAGTACTTAGCTGGAAGTGTCTTCGGGTGAATACTAAAGCGCGTATCTGTGAATGTAGACCATATTGGAAACAGATTTACTGTCCCAAAGCGTAGTGCTTACTCAGCCATCTGATGAGATGTGAGCACTGAGCAGTTTGAGAGGGATGCATAGAGCTGTTTTATTACAAGATGCTGTTATGAGTTATAGCAGCTTTCCTTATGCTCTACGGCTGTCGCCAAACAAGTTACATGAATATAAGCAGTTTTATTTGCAATTTTTTGCTTACATTTTCTTAGCATATTCGGATTATAGCTTCTCACAGCTCCACTCATGCTCCTGTGGCTGTCCCAGTATATTGCTTTATTCAGAGCCAAAAGGAGCGTTTACAAACATTTGTAGAAAGTCCTCCTTAGAGTACACAGTGCTAGTGTTTATTGATGCTATCACCTGGCACTTGTTTTTTTCAAAAAATAAAAAAAGAAAAAAGCATTTTCACCCTTGGATATAATGTGTTTCTTTCAGAGAAAACTTAATAAATACATGAATTTGCCTTTCATTTGATGCAGTTGCAGTAACTCCTGTGTAGGAGGTTTTGTGTTTCAGGAAAAAACAAAATAAAACAAAAACAAAAAACAAAAAAAACAACAAATAGAGTTTCAAATTTCATTTGATCAGGATTGAACCTGAAACAACTAAAATAAGAAAGAATTAATTTTGTCTGAGAGATATACACCAGGCTTGGTTGTTACATACAAGTTATAGGCTGGAAAATTAGTGTTGTTAATTCCCCTGGAATGTGTGAAAATGAATCAGAGGAATTGATGACGTTAATAAAAATGACAATAACAGTAAATTAGTTTATACTAAATGTAAATAATGGTTATGCTGGGACCTAAATGAACCTGCAACAGCTAGGGACTTAGTATGAACCCAGTTTATTCTTATTTTATTAAGCATCCTCTAGATCAAAATATTGTGTTATTAATAATTACAATAAATATCTAGCATACAGTGCTCAGTATTCAGAGCCTGTCCTCATCTCACTGTTTACTTTGGGAAAATAGCATGTTCATTAGCACTTGGCTTGGTCCAGGGCTTAGGGGACACTGGACATTTGAACATGACTGCATAACCGAGCTTCATTGAGGAGCAGGGGACAGGTGCCAGATGAGGTTTTAGGTAATTTGAAGGATTAGTCTTTAAAGAGTCTTTTAAATTACTTTGCGCTGTACTCCTTTTTGCTGGTTATAAAAATAATTCACATCCATTTTAAAGAATTTGGAAATAATAAGTGTATAAAGAAGAAAATTAAAATAGCCTATCATTTTACTGCTGAATAGCAATTGTTTTTATCATTTTGGCATATTTATTTCCCAGCCTTTGAGTTGTTTGTGTGTATGTGGAATGTATTTTCAAAATTGGAATTATATGTGCTATTTATATACTACTCTGTTCATTTTACTTTTGTCATGAATGCTTTCCTTAAATTGTTCTTCTGGAATATGATTTCTTTAACAATGATGTGGCATTGTCATATGGATATATCACACTGTACTTTCCATCTAATCTTTTTCCCAATGGAATTTTAGTTTTCGTGCGTTTTTCATATTATAATAGTTCAGTGAACATCTTTTACATAAATCTTTGTGTATGTCACTCATTTCTTCAGAATACATCTGTATTTAAAATTATGCTAATGGAGAGGTAATAAAAGAACGAGTAGGCCAGGTTTTGATATAGGTATAAATGTTTGGGGCATGCATCTAAAATCAAAAATGCTTTTTAAGACAAAATTTAAATTTTACTTACAAATCATATTCTAAATTTTTCAGCCACATATGCAACAATCCGTTTATATCATATTCTGAAATGCATCATTCTGTTGTAATGATATTTTGTTAAACCAATTTTAAATTGTATGAATGTAGGGATCTTATGTCATTTTATCTGGAGCCTAGTTAAGGGGGAATTTTTTAAGGTCATATGACTATCCCTTAAACCTCAATTTCTTTGCAATAGCATCATGAGGACTACATCCTAGGAAATCTGGAGTTGTAAGCATAATCACAGGCTTAATTGTTTTCCCTTGACCATATGCATATATTGTTGTATACATACACATATGTGCATAAATATACGTATGTTAGATATATATTATATAAATCACATGTAACATATTACACATATTAAACACAATAAAACATGTACTTATATATTTGTGTTCATGAACATACATAACATCATAATTTTAAACTATTATTTAAAGAGTTTGTGCATACCATCACATGATTTGACAGATGTGATGTGTTTTAATCAGGTGACCATTAGAACAATAAATACAATGCTTTATAGCAATCTGGTCTGGTCTACTGTTAGTCTCCACTTGCCCCGGCTGTCAAATATTGCTTAGAGTTCATGTCAGAAGGAGCTCTTGCATCATAGTCCAAAGCAGACATTCCCAGAACAAAAAAAATGGAGTCAAGAGACACAGACAGGACTTCCTTTTCTGTCTCATTTTCGATGTATCTGTGGGAAGCTTTCTGCCTATACAACAAATCATTCCTAGGGAGGGCTGTATCATGATATGAGAAACGAACAAAAAAAAGAAATGATTTCTGATTCCTATGGGAAAAATTGGTCTTATGTGAAAATTAAACTCAGTGTGTTATAACATTTGCTACATAAACCTGAACAAAAGAAAAAAAAAACTTGTGAGAGATGCTTTTTCTCTCCACAGTTATCTTTCATAACTATCTCTTTAGTTTTGTGTGATGCTGCTCAAATTTGTTGGTCTAAACTGCAGTGTTCTCGGAGGGTTCAGCACATGCCCTTCCAGACCGGACCCTGGCAAAGCAGAATCAAGCGACAGGATAGCCCTGCCCTCATGAAACCTTGACCTTGACTCTTTTTTTTTTTTTTAAATGGAGCCTCCTTCTGTCACCCAGGCTGGAGTGCAGTGGTGTGATCTCAGCTCACTGCAACCTCTGCTTCCTGGGTTCAAGCAATTCTCCCACCTCAGCTTCCCAAGTAGCTGGGATTACAGGCACGCACCACCACTCATGGCTAATTTTTGTACTTTTAGTAGAGACGGGGTTTCGACAAGTTGGCCAGGCTGGCCTCAAACTCCTGACCTCAAGTGATGCATCCTCCTTGGCCTCTCAAAATGCTGGGATTACAAGTGCGAGCCACCGTGCCCAGCCTGACCTTGACTCTTGGCTCAATTTTCTCTGTTCTTGGCATCTATGTTCTTCAGACCATGATGCAAGAATTCCAGGGGTGTACAATCTTTTGGCTTCCTTGGGCCATATTGGAAGAAAACGAATTGTCTTGGGCCATACATAAAATACACTAATATGGGCCAGGAGCGGTGGCTCACGCCTTATAATCCCAGCACTTTGGGAGGCCGAGGCAGGTGGATCACGAGCTCAGGAGAAGACAAGCCTGACCAAATTTGTGAAACCCTGTTTCTACTAAAAATACAAAAATCAGCTGGGTGTGGTGGTGTGTGCCTGTAATCCCGGCTACTCAGGCGGCTGAGGCAGGAGAACCATTTGAACCAGGGAGATGGACCAAATGTCTATATGGCCTATAGCATTTATTATTAAGTCTGTGACACCAATGTACTTCACTTGGCAAGTCACTTATTCACCTTAAGCCTCCATTTCCTCCCCTAAAATGAGATCAAAAGAGGCATAAATGATTGCCCTTCTCCCATCATTCACTCTATCTCTGCCTCTATGTAGACTCAGTTCTTGCTCTTCAACTGACTTGGTAGATCCTTGAATATATGTAGTCATTTTAATTCCAAATAATTAGTACTAAAGTAAGAAAATTCTGGTGAGAGAAAACTGCAACTATGTTTAAATGTACAAATAAAGGTGAATCAATCCCATTTGGAGTAAAGAACGTCCAGATGTCCTCAAAATAAGTGTCCTTTCTCCTCCACCTATTCCCTGTCCCGAGTCTCATTTTCATGCTCAGCAAGACCCTCTACCGGATTATGTCATCCCCCACCCCGATACAAAAGGGTTATGTTTATAAATGTTGAATGACTAACATATCCTCTCAGCATTGCCATATAGAGTGGCAAATAATGTTGGAAGGAAATTGGGCATTTTGGAAAGGACTGATATGAATATTAATTATACAAGTGTGGGCTCCAAAATCTCTTTTTTAGGTTTTTCCCACCTGCATTCCTACAGAATTGAATGTTTGTTCTTCTATTATGCTTATCAGTAAATTCTTAATTTTGTTAAGGAAAAAAAACAAATCCAGGGCAAGTGCTTACATTATCACTATCATCTGCTTGAAGCCTGAATTTCATTAAGTAGGTTGTTAATAAAATGAGGAATGATATATCACAACTGCAATGCTGTGTCTCCCAAAGTTAATGAAGAGTTATTATTTTATAGATGACAAATTAAAAGGCTGTTAAAATAGTTGGTAAGACTGTCAACGGATTTAGCAACATTCTAATTAAAAATAGGGCATTAAAGAGAATTAAAATCTTGAATTTGGAGAAATGAGAAAATATGCTTAATATGTGATTTAACATAGTTAAGAGCCCTGGAATCTTTACATAAGATGAGATGGATGTCGTTTTAAAGATATCGTGACAAATTTTTGCAAAACTAGGACATCACCATCTAATACAATTTCACAGAGTTGATGAACAATTTGTTTGCCATTAAAATTATATTTTTAAATGTATAAGTAATATTAAAGCAATAATAACATTTTAATATGTATTATTATAAAGATATGCTACATGTAGCCTTAATATATATTAATGATATACACATTTACCTGTCACCCATTTCTAACAAATTAATAGTTTTCATTTTTTTCATTTTCACTGAAGTACTTATCTATCTGGATACATTTTTATACAAAAATAGATTTTTATACAAAAGTTACACTTCTGTCTGCTTTTTTCAGTTATACCTCAGTCTTACATATCTTAAATGTTTTCCTTTTTAATCATTAAACACCATTAATTGAGTTGATATGCTACATTTTACTTAACCATTCCTTTCTTGGTTAGTTAGGTCCCTTCCACTTTTTACTATAATAAATAACATTCAAGAAACATTTTCATATACATTTAGAGTAAGTTTCTGGAAATGAGATTACTAGATCAAAAAGTATTAATGCTTTTTTGGTTGTTTAAACATTATCAAACTGCTTATCAAATGACTTTTATCATTTTACACCAGTAATTTAACTACAGTTGTAATTCAATGACAAGGTGGATAGGATTTGATGGCATCATTATTTTATAATTTTTGCAAAATTAGTAGGTAAGGTGGTATCATATGTTTGTTAACTTATGTTTAAACAATCTGCTCCAAGAATTTCACAGATAATTAGATAACATGACTGTTTTCTCTATTAATTTGGTTTTCTATATTTTATTCTTTGACAAGTGGTCATATGCAAGGTGCCCCACATATGATGCCGTAATTTTCTTTTAGCAGATTTTGGAGGTATTCACAGAATTGAGATTAAGCATAGCTCAAACAAAGATACCCATGGAATGAATAAATGAAATAATATTTAATAGAGTAAAACAGAAAGTGTTTAGAAACATGTTATAGAGTCAATAACAGGTATAGTGAGGATGATTTTTTTCAAGGTGTGCTAAACTTGAAAATTGACCCTTTTTATGAGTATTTCAGGAGCTAGAGAATCCCTCCTATTCCTAAAACAAAGGTGAAGGAGAAACAGGGAAAGACAGAGACCTCTAACAAACAGAATGAATAGCTGAAGTGGACGGGCTGTCTCTGGGAGTGGGCATTCTATAGAATGCAAGCAGTGGGGGTAAACAAATGCTGTTTACATTTCCCATCCTTGTTAAATGAAAAAGAAAATTAGGAACAATTATAGCTAGAGTTATAGAAATCCACCTTGTGAAATAGAGACCTTGGGTCCAAAGCGTCTATTTGCATTTCACTGTTTCTGCCTGGAACAAGTCTGTTAGCATGGCTCACTCCCTACTCCCTGCAGGTCTCTGCTCAAACATTATCTCTTCCTGCCTACTCTCTATAAAATATAAAGTTCTGTGTACCCCACTTGCCATTCCATTCACTCCCTGTTCTTTTTTATCATGCCTCATGCTTCTTGATCTAAGATTTGCTTATTTGCTTATTTATTTACTCATCTATATACTGCAAGAATGTAAGCTTCATAAAGGCAGAGATATGTACTGTATCCCTACAACTTGATAGAACAATGCCTGGCATGTAATGGATGCATCATAAATATTTGTTGAGTGAGAGAATGAATGAATGAATTGTGAAAGATCACCAATGGATAAATTACCCAAACTCTGGTTGATATAGCCAACCTACTACAAATCAATGACCATTCCAGTGCAGAGTTGTACATGAGCAGATGCAGTATTGGGGCCACAACACTGTGTAAGGTTGGATCTGGAATTAAACCTTTCTTGTAATCATATCTGCCTAAGTGTTTCTTTCTTTCTTTCTGAAGAGGGATTAAAGACAGATTCTAGAAGCTCACTGTATATTATTTTCAGTTAGGTATGAGTATCCATACATGTTTACTTGTGCATGTGTGTATACGCATACATATACATAGGTACAAATATATACACACACATATCCACACATCCCCACACATGTTTGTATATGTGTATTAAGTTCACTTTAGTAAACTCTGTAGAGGATATTCCCTTGAGTACAATCCGTAGAGTCAGATAATGTCGACCAATATTTTTCTGTCTTTTTAAAGCTTGTGAAGAATTTCTTGAGACATTGCAATGGAGAAAAGCCTGGAACAAGTGAATTTAAATTGATAATTACAGTTAGAATCTGGTACTCATATTGCATAAGACAGTTATAACTGTGTAAAGAGTTCTGCTTTATTGTGGCTAATTATGCTCTTCTAAGACTGTTGCCAAAAAAAGAGCACACAGTCAACAATGTCCCAGCCTTCCTCTGCACACCCCCTAATACCAATGTCTTCTTATGTCTCAGTCCTCTCCTCATCATCCCTTGGTCACTTTTCAGCCTTTATTTTCTTATCACATTGATAACTTGTAGTATCATTAACCCTTGACACTCATCCCATCTACAATTCCCCTAAACCAGTAGACGTCCCTAATTTAAAATGGCCATGGTCATCAAAGGCAGAAAATCTGCTTCCTCTCAGCAGTCAATAATGCAACTAGAAAGGATCCCTTCAGTAGGTTCATGATTCTTCCTATTCAAGAAATGGCCATTGGTGTTTTGTCTTTGACATCAATTGATTTTATATTTAATTCTTATTCATTTTTTAAAACCTTCCTTTCTCAATTCTAAGTCAAATCAGCACTAAACTGTCTCTGTGGCGGTTACATATCTTAGTTGCTCTTTCATCCTACCATAGAATGGAGACTCATAATGCTAGAGGAGACCATGAAAAGACCAACTCATCAACCCTACAGTTAATCACTAAGAGAATTGAGCTCTCTTGCCATCTACCTTTCTATCAGGAAATGGATCCCTGAGCATCTGTCTATTATTCCTTTTGTGTGTTGTGCTCAACGGAAATTTTCCACATCTCCATCTCTGTAACTCCACTGTCAAGAGCAATCTCTTAGGCACTGCCTGCCATTGTGATTATTGCCAATATCACTGAATTAAGGTAATCAGGCCACATTCATCGCATGCACTTGGAGCAGAAGCTGAAACCACAGGTAAAATTGAAATGTCCTGTAATGGCCATTTCTGTGTCGGTTTCCTGTTCCTTTCCCTAAAGTGCATTTGCTTTTGCTTTTCCTCCTTGCCTGCTGAGATCATTGTGTGGGTGTGAGTGTCTGAGGGTTCAGGTTGATAAGTTGCAAAGGGAAGAGGGGATAAAAAGCCACACAGCTTGAATAAATAAATGCATGAAAATATGTGGTACTCTAGCATGCCCTACCGCCATGTCTCCATCACTACACAAGGATGTCCTCATAGATTAACTTCAGCATCAGAATTCTGAAGGCAGAGAAGCAAAAGTAGCAGCTGTGGGAGCTCCCTAAAGTGGAATCGGGCATGACACTCTGAATTTTGAAATTGCAAACCCACAGTTCAGTAGGTTGCAGCAACACAGAATGCAGATGGTGTGTTCCTTTGGATTGTCAGTGTAGTTCTACAGTGTATATAAATGGCTTCAGTTCACTCCTGTTGGCTCTGTCACTGCCTTTTAACACCAATGTGTCAGTAAAGCCATGTTGCAGTGACAATCGTGTTGGTAATGGGGCTCAGAGGAGAATACCTTGAGAAAATTTGAAATTAACCATTTCAGAATAGGGAAGTCTTTTAAATATGATTCATGTTAGAAAAATGAGGAGCACAGTGCACTAGACATACAAGGTTACTACAATAACTTGGATTCACTTAATGCATGTTATGGAATTTAAGAATAGATGAAGTTGTTCATTTTTTTTTTTTTTACACAATTACATGTTTTCCCCCACGGTGTGAATAAAACGAGATAAGTGCACATTATAACTATCTCAGTGATTAAAGCATCTTCTTTTCATCTATAAATATCATATAATAGAGTTAGAGTAAATACAAGGCTGTAATTAACTTTAAGGCCTTCACTGATACACTATCAAAATAGGGCCTTACTGCCTTCCAATGGCAGCTGAGTCAAAAAGAATGGTTTCCATTTAGAAATAATGTTTGGAGGTTTTATTCAGGATCCTATGCCTTATTTCCCAACACACAGCTTCAGTGGCCAGTTAGAAATATAGGTTCCCTGCCATTTGCAATATCTCATGCCCCTCCTGGTGTTCCCAACAGCTTTGAGACTCAGAGCCCACAAGTGGAATCTGTGCATGTGAGACTTATTTAAAAAGGAAAGTTTTTTAAATTTTGTGAATTACATTTTTGAGACTGTCAGCTTAGAGTTGTCTTCCATTAAGTTGATAGAACGTGAAGCAATAGGAGAGCAGTTGGAATAATATTTCCTTAGCAGAATGTTATGCCTTGCAAAGGCAACTTGTCATTCGAGGCTTTCTTTTATGGGATATTTAGAGATTTTAAAAAAAAATCTGTTTATCAATTGATATACAGTTGGCCAATTTAAAATGATGACTTCATTTCACTAATGACCAATCAGTGAAAGGAGTTTAAAATCAATTAACTTTGTGTGGGGCCAGGCTGAATATTATTTGTTTCACTGTTGTAGAATGTCTGTAGAATATACTGCATGTAAAGTATATTGTAGTTAAGGGTCAGATGCCCTAATTCTGCTTTTTAGTTATATGACCTTGAGCAAGTGAATACATTTCTCAGTTTCAGGGTTTTCGTTTTTGTTTTTTTCTTTTAAATGGAGGTAATACTACTTTCTTTTGGTTAGTTGGGTGTATTAAATTAGAAAATCCATGTAAAGGCACTTAACAAGTTGTCTCGCATTTAGAAGTCCTCAGACAGTGTTAACAATGATCATTATTATGTTAATTACATTTACCCATACAACCTAGGATAGCTATAGGGGAAAAACCAAAAGCCAACAAATGATTTAGAATCACAGATGGTTAATACTAGGAGGAAAATAACTAGATTTTCGTTTACCCTCCTTATTGTACAGTTGAAAAACAATACTCAGGGAAGTCTAGGAAGTGACTATTCCAATAACATGCATCTATTTGAAGGAAGAAGCTGCATCAGGGTGCTAGGTTTTCTCCAATCAGCAGTGATTTCTGCTATGCCATGTGGCTTTCAAATGTATCTGCTTAAAAATTAGCAGGATGACTTGTCTTTGAAAATAGAATTACTTCAGTGTCACCTCACTTTATATTCAAACCTACCTAGAACCTATTAAATGGCTGGAATCAAGGGACCAGTTAGTATGTATGATATAACCAGTTGTAATAAGCAAGGTCACTACTGTGTTAAACACTATATGCAACCAATCTTTGACCATTCATTCTGCAAATACTTATTAAAACCTCTGGTGTATGTCAGGCACTCTACTAGCAGTAATGATAGTTAATATGTGTTGAACACTTATGACACTTCAGGCCACAGGCTAAGAACTTTGCTTATGTAATCTAGTTTGACTCTAACAGAAATCTTACCAAATAAGTACTTCTATTAGTCCCACTTTATGATATGATGAAAAACAAAAATCAAATAAGAAACAAGTCCTCATTCTATCTTAACAGATGATCTGCTATGCTTATAGCCTCAGGAATAAAAACAGTGTTTGTCTTCTGGCACATAGATGATTCCCAATAAAATATTTGTTTAATGGATTGGCATACAGCCTAATGGAGATTAAATACAGATAAAAATTAATACAATAAAACTAGTCCAGGCAGTACAAAAACCAGCACACTGAAATATAGTTAGGACCCAAAAGAAGAAATGGGCTTATTCAGGAAAGGCCTGAATTGACAGATTCTACAGGTAAATCCTGACTTAAATGACATTTTAGATCCTTGCCTTCTTTTCTTTTGATAGACACAGAACGAGATCATTCAGGGCTTAGCCATATAGGAGTGCTATGGTTTGAATGTTTGTTCCCTCTGAAACTCATGTCGAAGTTTAATTGCCATTGTAACAGTATAAGAGCTGGGACTTTTAAGGCATGATTAAGTCATGAGAGCTCTGCCTTGAGGGGTGAGATTAATGCCATTATAAAAGAGCGAGTTGAGCCCTTTCATGCTCTCTTGCTCACTTGACACCTTGCCTTCCAACATGTTGATGACACAGCAAGAAGGCCCTCACCAGATGGTGGCACTTTAAAATTGGACTTTCCAGCCTCCAGAACTGTGAGCCAATAAATTTCTGCTCATTATAAATTACCCAGTCTCAGCTATTCTGTTATAGTAGCACAAAACAGACTAAGACAAGGGACAACTTATTTTTTATGGTTGTTCAAATCTTTGTTTTCAAGTATCCTTTTTACTTTTAGAGGAATTTCTTCCTGTAAAGACAAACAAACAAAAAAAAACACTAAAATCTAGAACATACCTGCAATGCTGATTTCCTGTTTTGTTCTTCCAAGTCACTTCCTTAGGATAAAAAGCCACTACTCTGTGCATTTAGAGCCCCTGAAATAAATTCTCCATTTTCAAATGACCTTACAAGAAGGGACTAGAAAATTGCTAGATAAGTCAGAAAAGATTTTTATTTTAAAAAATTGATGCTCTTCTCTGGAAATTATATTACAGTTCTAGCTGTGATATGTATTCACAAAATTAAAAAAAAAAAGATAATCCAAGAGTAAGATGCAAACTCATTTTTTTGGCCTGTGTATGAAAATAGACAAAGAAAAATATAGGGCATTTTGGGGCTGTTCAGGCCAGGATAAAAAAGGAAATGGGTGTCATTCCTGAAGCTTCTCTCTCTGGCCTGCTTTTTCCTTTTCTATCTGGAGGCTGACAGACAGGAATCACATAGAAGTTATTTTGAAGGTAATTTTATATGGAGTGGAGACATTTTTCCCCTTCTGCAGTCATAAGCCTTGAGAATTTATCACCAGCTTCAAGGTAAGAAACTTTTTTGCCATGAATTTGTCTGCTCTAACGTTCCTTAACTTTGGTCTCTCAGCCAACAACTTGCCCCTTGTTTCCAGCCCAGCGGTTAGGTGGTTTGCTAAGGTAGAAGGGGAGCAAAGCAGCTTAGGCTGGGGCAGCCAAAATATCCATCCATCCCTGCTTTGTGTTATGCTTTCTCTGTATATGAGCTCTAGGTTAGTTTTACCTCCTCAAACTTTTCTTTGTTTATTTCCCCTTAATGTCTGCCTGGGCATTGAATCTGTTGTCTTGCTGCCTTGGCTTATTTTTTTTTTTTTTTTGGGGGGGGGGGCGGGGGGGGGGGTGGATGGAGTCACTCACTCTGCCACCCAGACTGGAGTTACAGTGGTGTAACTCAGATCTCGGTTGCAGATCTCGGCTCACTGCAACCTCTGCCTCCCAGGTTCAAGCAATTCTCTGGCCTCAGCCTCCCTAGTAGCTGGGACTACAGGCATGCACCACCACGTCTGACTAGTTTTTTTTGTATTTTTAGTAGACACAGGGTTTCACCTTGTTGGCCAGGCTGGTCTTGAACTCCTGACCTCAAGTGATCTGCCCACCTCAGCCTCCCAAAGTGCTGGCATGATAGGCTTGAGCCACCGCACCCGGCTGCTGCATTGGCTTTTATGTCTTCTTGACACTCTGATTTGTGTGTTTATGATGCTCGTGTATTTAAGTGCTCAAAAATATTTGTTTTTTTTTTTTTGTTGCTGTTGTTTTTTGTTTTTTGTTTTTGTTTTGTTTTGAAAGAAAAAACATCTATCAAGGGCCCACAGTGAGTCATATCTCAGGCTTCAGTGCACTTGGCTTTGTATTCTGGCCCTGTTAGCCACCCATACCGTGGAGAGAGAATCTCTGCATTTCCCTCTCTAGGAAACACCACCCAAACACTTGGGTTCTAGATTCTAATATATCACATTCAAATCCCACTGCGTTGCTCCCTGACTGTGTGACCTCAGCTATGCAAGTTGTGTGTACCTTTTCCTTTCTTTCTTCTATAGGGTTGTGAAGACCAAATGAGATGGCTCATATGAAATGTTTAGCCCAGTGCTCAAGAACTCTTAATTACCTTTTCCCTCCCCCTTTTTTTTTAAATCTCCCCATTCTTCCTTAAAGGTGAAAATAAACATCACTGTCCAAAAGAAAAATAGGATGGAATCAAGATTAAATGATTAAAGCTGGAATTTTCCTTTTACGTACTTAACCAGTGGGTCATTCAAGGTACTTCACAATTTGTTGAGAGAACCATTAAACACCATTAGTAGGTCATCTGCCACTGACTTCAAAACTATAGTCTTTAAAACCCAGCCAAATAGGGAAATCATCTTAATAGCTCCGATCACTTTGATTTGGGCCAGAAGGCCATGGTGACAGATGCACTAAGCATCTCATAAATAGCGGGGTATTTCCTTTAGCAATTATAATTCACAGAATAGAAATAGTCATGTGCTATTATTATGTAATATGATATCACTTAAAAATGTAAAACTGTCGCAGGGGCATTCTGGCCAACTGGCCCTGCACCTTTAACCACACTTCAGTTTGTTCTGGTCTCATCTGAATGACCCTCACATCATAAAATGTCTTTTTCTCCTTCAAATTCTGAAAGGAGGATTTATACTAGTACAGCATATAGAGCTCGACCGAACTTTTGAGACTACCTAGTCTTTTAAAAGTCCTTTATGAGATGTATTATTCTAGTTTGGTTTTCTGAATGTACAGATAAAGAAACTGATTTAGAGCAGTGAATTGGTTTGGCATGGCTAAATGGATAGTAGGCGGCTGGTTCAGAATTTGAACTGACATCGTCCTAACTAACCAAGGTTAAGCTGAAAAATAAAACCTTTGTTTTATAGATACAGATATGTGTGTATATGTGTATGGTGCATACATACATATATAATATGTGTGTTATATGTGTATATATGTATGTGGATATATATATTCCCCTCCCTAAAATAGTGCTGAGATGTGTCCTCTGAATATCTAACACCTCTGAGTTTTTTGTTATATTTTTTTCCTAAATGCAATCAGCTTTTACTCACTGATAATAAAAATTGCATGTGCTAATTTTGAAGAAGTCAAAAAATTGAGAAGAGTAGAAAAAGAGCCAAAATCGCCTGAAATTTCAGAAGTATCTGTGAAAATTTTGATAAATGTTACACAGGTATATTTAAAATTTCATAAAAATATAAGTAGAACTCCTGGAGAAAAATCAATGATTGGTTCTTATTCCCAGGTCCTACCTTCTAACTCAGAGCATATAGTACAGGAAAATGATAGGATTCAAAATGTGGTTCAGGAAATGCAAATATCAACGTCACCTGTGAACTTCAGAGAAATGTACGAAGTCAGAACCTCCCCAAGGCTTACTGAATCAAGAGCTCTGAGGGTGGGGCATAACGATCTGGGTCTTAAAAAGTCCACCAGACTATTCTGATGTAAGATCAAGCTAGAGAACCTATGGCATGATGTATTAGTCTGAAAGATCTGAGTTTGAATTCGTCTTAGCCGTGACCTTCATTGGATCATGACCTTAATTAAGTTAGTCACCCAACTGTTCCTCATGGTGAAGTGAAGATAATATTTACCTTAAAGAGTTTTGAAGATTAGATATAAGTTACATGAAGCATTAAATCCAGAGACTAGTCCATTGTAGAAGCTCAATCAATGACAACCATTATAGAAGGCCACCATTGCTTTCATCAGCAGCTCAGTTACACAAGTCATTTTTGAGAGATGCAGTAGCATGCACTCTAGGAGAGAAACACACTGTTGTTAATATTTAAAATATTTCAAATAGCATTACAGCCAGAGAAATAGGATCCATCTAATTCACAATTTGTATTCCTCAGAAGCAACATGTAGTTCTTCATTGCCAAGTAGGTCTCCTTTCAAAGATGGATAGGTAATTTTTTTTCAAAATATTTTAATCCATATAATTTGAGCAAATACTCGGGGACATGAGATTCTATGATGAAAGCTCTGTTTTGATCACAAAACTCTGAACTGCAAATGTGAGAGTGTGTGTAATTCCATCTTTCTCTTTTTATTTATGGAAAAAAAACTAAATCGAACCAGGTAGTTGAATCCTTCTTTCAAGAAGGATTAACAGTCATTGGGACCACGATGTATTTGGATAGAACAAGAGGAAAAAAAAACATGGAAATAAATATGAAATAGAAATAAACATGATTGTGTTTTTAGTGGTATTTGCAATGCCTTACAATATTACTAATATGATAATAATCATATTAGTATTCCACTTTCAGGTACATTGATTTAATGAAGATTACTGAAATGATTTATAGGAAAAAAGAAACAAGGTGAATTTAATAAGGTGCCAGACAACTGCCCTCTGAGTCTATAAAAGTGTTCAGAGGGACCGAATTCGGCTTAACCTGACCCAGAGTGGCACATTACAAGAAACTGCCTCAGTCTTACTCAAGTGTGAACGTGGCTCTAGCAGGCCCTACTGGGTATTAGTTATGGTGATGCTGTATCAAGTCTGTGGAGTGTTCATTCCCCTTCCACCTCTGATCCATGTCTTTTAATCTCTTAAACTGAGAATGAATGGCTATTAAAAACTTTCAGTGATTTCAGAAAGATTCTTTAAATATAAACCAATAAAATGAAATAATGCAATGACAATATTTAAGCAGGAATATTATGGCAGATAAATTCTGGGAGGTTTACTGCTAATGGCCACTTGACATTTTTAAATAGAGCGTTTCAGTAAATCACTGAAAATTAGCCGACAAGAATTTATACTCATCTATTTAAATGATACTTGTAAATAAGTAAATACGGTTTAAATATAGTTTGAGTGATGGTGGAATTTATAGCAGGAAATGTCCTAGTGTAGGTTTTTGTTCTAATTGAAGATCAAGTCAACAAGCAACTATTGTAGTTGCTTTGTTCCCAGGAACAGGGAAGTATGCTAGTTCCTGCAGACCCACAGAGGAGAGAAGCCCAATTCTGCAAATCCAGTAACTCATTGCTCAGGTTAAAGTCTATCACCCTTTACCCCAGAAAACCTCCTTTCCTTACCACACAAGTGGACTTACAAGACTTCCAGGTTAGAATTTAGAAATGCTCCTAATTATATCTTGTGGATTTTAGCTTGCATATAGTTCAAGAGCTATACACTGGTCAGGGGTTTATAATAAATATCAGTGGTATATTTTAATTATGTACATATTAATGCATTCATTTCACAAATACTTACTATGCATGTTCTCTTATATTCCAGACGTTGTTCTGGCATAGAAGATGGTAACAGTGAACACAGCAACATCTGTTCTGCCCTGAACTTATAGTCTATAGTTGAGAGATCAACCATGAACTTGTAAATTTTTTAAAAAGATAATTTCAGTTAATGGTGAGTTGTTAAGGAAAAAATAAATGGAGCAATGGCATAGAGAGAGTAACTTTGGAGAGAGATAAGGAAAGAACCCTTTACATGGACCTGTCTGAAAAGATCTCTCTGGAAAGGGGACATTTGAATTGGAGCATGAAGTGGGGGAAGAAGCTTGAACGGTGGCCAGGAGGGTGAGGGGCATTCTGAGTGAAGAGTGGTCAGGGTACAGGCTTGAAGAGAGAGTGTTCTCAGTATAGCGCAGGGTTAGAGAGAAAGGTCAGTGGGGCTGGACTTCATGACAAGACAGGGAAACTGTCCTATAAGATCAGTTTGGTAAGGAAAGCAGGATATATTTGATAGTCTTCTAGAGAACATAATTTACTATGTTTTGATATTATAGTGGGAAGTCACTGGATCTGAGGCATGGAAGTACATCTACTTTGTTATTAAATTTCTGGAAATGGCCAAAAATCGTAGTAATTTTATACGTACTCTTAAAATAGGATAAAGTCAGCCAGGCATGGTGGCTCACGCCTGTAAGCCCAGCACTTTGGGAGGCTGAGGTGGGCAGATCACGAGGTCATGAGAGCGAGACCATCCTGGCCAACATGTTGAAACCCCGTCTCTACTAAAAATTCAAAAATTAGCCAGACGTGGTGGTGCACGCGTGTAGTCCCAGCTACTCGGGAGGCTGAGGCAGGAGAATCGCTTGAACCCAGGAGACGGAGGTTGCAGTGAGCCGAGTTCATGCCACTGCACTCCAGTCTGGTGAAAAGAATGAGACTCCGTCAGAATAATAATAATAATTATAATAATAAATAAATATATATATATATATATATAAAATAAAGTCAAGCCTCCTAAGTCATGTTCAGTTTACATATTGGGGAAAACCCCAAAGTTACACTCAGTCATCACTTCAATGCAAGAAGCATGTATAATTACAAAAGTTCTCAGGCAGTCTTTTGAAAGATACAATACTGATGAAGAAATAGTTTCTGTCTCAAGTAAGCTGCATGCTATTAGAGAAAGAAGCTATATATAATTACCTATGATATACAATTTTAATGAAATAAATTCTGTATTGGAAGCCTAAAGGAAAACCCGGCAAATTCTGAATAACATTAAACATTTATTCTTTTTTAAAAAATTTTATTATTATACTTTAAGTTTTAGGGTGCATGTGCACAACATGCAGGTTTGTTACATATGTATACATGTGCCATGTTGGTGTGCTGCACCCATTAACTCGTCATTTAGCATTAGATATATCTCCTAATGCTATCCCTCCCCGCTCCCCGCATCCCACAACAGGCCCCGGTGTGTGATGTTCCCCTTCCTGTGTCCATGTGTTCTCATTGTTCAGTTCCCACCTATGAGTGAGAACATGCGGTGTTTGGTTTTTTGTCCTTGCGATAGTTTGCTGACATTAAACTTTTATTCTACAAATATGTTTTGATTGCCTGGCACATATCAGAAAGGATACAATGGTGAACAAAACATGCCTGGCTCTTGCTCTTAATGAGTTTGTAGTTCAATTGGGGAGGCAGGAATTAAATATGAAATATAGTCACAAATTGGAATAAATGCAAAAAGCAGGAAAGAATAGCACTTAAGACAGTATCTGGCGCATAGACACCCAGTAAATACCAGTTGAATAAATTGTTGTTTATAGAAGAAAAACAGGGATTAACATGCCTTAGAGACAGCATGTTCAGAAAAAACCTCCCCGAGGATTTACCGATAAAGGTGAGGTCAGAAGAAGTGAAGGAATAATCATTTCAAAAGATTTGGAGATGGGATGGCTTCTAAGCAGAGGGTCCAGTATATAGAGATCCAAGGATGGAAAAGAGTTCTAGAATGTGTCATAAAGACAGAGACATGATGTTAGAGAGGAAGAGAATGGTGAAATAGGGTAGAGTATTGCAGGTCATGAGAAGTTATAAGTCAGTATGTAAGCCATTGTGGGGCTTTGTATGTTTAGAAGATCATCCTAATTTCTGCAAAACGAATTGACTCTGCGGGGATAAGAGATGATGTTTGTGATGATATTGTATGAAATTAGATTAAAAGATGATGGTGATTTAGGCTAAGATAGTGAGAGTGCAGATGGATGAAAGTGGCTGAATCAAAAGGGTTTGCAGAGGCAGCCACTGGATATAGTGGAATGGTGCACCTTCTGTCTTCCAGGTATTTAAGCTAAAAGCTTGGAGTTATCCTTAATTTATCGCAGCATTAAGTGTGAACTTGTTAAAAAAAAAAAATCAGTTTTCTTATTTCTCTGCTCATAACCCATTCCAACAGTTCGATAGTTTCTCATATCGTTTTTTTTTTTTTTTTTTTTTTTGATGGATTTTTGCTCTGTCGCCAGGCTGGAGTGCAGTGGTGCAATCTTGGCTCACTGCAACCTCTGTCTCCTGGGTTTAAGTGATCCTCCTGACTCAGCCTCCTGAGTAGCTTGGACTACAGGCACGCACCACCATGCCCAGCTAATTTTTTTGTATTTTTAGTAGAGATGGGTTTCACCAAGAGATGGGGTTTCTTAACCTGGTGATCTACCCGCGTTGGCCTCCCAAAGTGGATTACAGGCGTGAGCCACCACACCCAGCCAGTTTCCCATATCTTTTGAAGAATTGAAACTCTTAAGCCCCTAAAAGCTCTTCCCGCTTATTAAATTTATAAATCATTCCCCTACAAGTGTCCCCTTTAGTTAATCTAAGCTGCCTCACTGGCCTTCTCCCAGCATTCAAATAAAATAATCACACTACCTCATGGTATTTTCCCTAGCTGTTCCCTCTAGCTGGAATGCTCATTCCCTAGATAGACACTTGAAGATTTTACTTCCTTTAGCTCTTGGCTGAAATAGCACCTAAACAGTGAGGTCTTCCCTAGTCACTTATTTCCTTATGTCCTGACCCTCCTTCTCGGTATACTCTATCCTGTTTCTCTGCTTTATTTTCTTTTTAGTGTTTATCAGTATTTAACAAAGTATATATTTTGTTTAGTTTTAGCTTTTTTGGCTTGTCTTCCCACTAAAATAAGAGAACTGGGTCTTGTTATTTGTTTATTACCATATCCGTGATGTCTAAAATCGTGACCAATATATGTTGGTTGAATGAATAAATACATGACAATAGTTGGAGAAAGGAGTTAGTACCTTCCAGAATAAATGTTGTTATAATAACTAAAGTTGATTGGCCATTTGAAAACAGGTCAGTTGTTGAGTTATTGGCTTCATGCAACAACAACCCCTGTGGGAGATGAGTCTGGGTAGATAGAATTGGGACTGGTTGGAAGAATCTTGAATACCTTGTCAAGAAGTTTGGACATGGTCTTATGGAGAGTTAGAATCCATTAGAAAATTTTTAAAGAGAAGGGTGGTGGGCTGGGTGCAGTGGCTCACGCCTGTAATCTCAGCACTTTGGGAGGCCGAGGCGGGCGGATCATGAGGTCAGGAGATTGAGACGATCCTGGCTAACATGGTGAAACCCCATCTCTACTAAAAATACAAAAAAAAAAAAAATAGCCTGGCGTGGTGGCAGGCACCTGTTGTTCCAGCTACCCGGGAGGCTGAGGCAGGAGAATGGTATGAACCCAGGAGGTGGAACTTGCAGTGAGCCGCGATCATGCCACTGCAATCCAGCCTGTGTGACAGGGCCAGACTCAGTCTCAAAAAAAAAAAAAAAAAAAAAAAAAAAAAGAGGTGGCATACTCCCCTTACGTTTTTGTTAATAATTTTGGAAATGGTGTGCAGCAAGGAGCTTGAGTGGGTAGACATTGGAATTAGGAAAAATCTGTTGAGGAAATTATTGAATTGATCCAGCTATGAGATGTATGAGAAATGTTGAAGCTGAAAATTGTTTTAAAAATAGAAATAGAAAGAAGAGGAAGAGATATGGGGGATAGAAATTATGAGTTCTTGCTTATAGTAGTGATTACTTTTGGATTTAAAGACATTCTTTCTCATTAAGACAATTTCTTTAGTTTTTCATATCCCTAATTCCTCATAAAGCATTTGTGTCAGTGGATGGTCTTGAACATTGAAATCTACCCTGAGTACTCTAGTACCATTTATTATAAAACAAATTATGTTACTGTCCTGGCTAAAGCATCTAAAACTTTCCTGAAATGTTTTTCAGGAGCAAGTTCACTGGATTTTTAGAAAATCTCCGTTCTTTTTGTTTCTGTCACTTACCAGACATATGACCTTGAGTATGTCATTTAACTTCTCTAAATGTTGTTTCCTTATAGTATAAAAGAACATCTTGGGAAGAGGATACCAGTGACTTATATTCAAATAGCCAAAGTGTTGTCATAATTATAATAGCCAGCCTTAACTGAGTGCTTGATAAATGACCAGCCTTGTGTCCATCAAATCCTCATAGTAACACTATCAGTTTGGCATCATTGGTTAAATATTCCTGTTTTACAGTTGAGGAAACTGAGATGTAGAGAAGGTATTCTGTTTACATAGGGACGCTTAGTTATTGGTGAAGTCTGGATTTGAATCCAGTCTGTCTGACTCCAGATCTTACACTTTTAAAAGCTATATGCTTGCTGGGGTAGAAGTAGAAGACTTGTAGCAGTTCCAACTGAATATAAGGAAGAGCTTTCAAAAGGCAGAGTGAGAACGAGCTGTTTTCACAGAGAGTAGTCTCTCCCTGTCATAACACAGCTTCAAGCAGAGACTGGGCACTCATGAGTATCCAGTGCTTCCATTCCACCAAGTGTTTGGCAAGGAGATCCAATACCTAAAATGGTAGCTGAACTAGATGGCTTTGAATTCCTTCATGCTTTAGATTAGATGCTCCAAATCTGAGGATCCAGGAGACAACAGCAATGCTCATGATAATTTCTGTTTCCTCTTATTTGCTATAGCATTTGAGGTCCATAGCAATTTTCTAGCATTTCTCACTTAACGTTCTTATGTTTGTAGCTTATTCCTCTATCAAAATTTTGAGGACAGGGAGTACGTTTCATTCTTCCATGTTTTCTCTGATGCGTAGACATAAGTTTTGGTCACTACAGGCTTTTAAGTAGTATTGTGTATGTATTACCTATTGAAAAGCATTATGGGCCAGGCGTGGTGGCTCATGCCTATAATCCCAGCACTTTGGGAGGCCGAGGAGGGCAGAACATGAGGTCAGGAGTTCAAGACCAGCCTGACCAACATGGTAAAACCCCGTCTCTACTAAAAATACAAAAATTAGCTGGGCATGGTGGCACGTGCCTGTAGTCCCAGCTACTCGGGAGGCTGAGGCAGGAGAATCACTTGAACACGGGAGGCAGAGACTGCAGTGAGCCGAGATCATGCTACTGCACTCCAGCCAGGGCAACAGAGTGAGACTCTGTCTCAAAAAAAAAAAAAAAAAAGACAAGAAAAAAGAAAGAAAGGAAAAAAGAGAAGTATTATGAAGAAATAATTTGTTTAATTCTACTTAAATATCAGTTGAAAGAAGAAATTATTTCAAAAATTAATGGCTAAATCTGAAAGGTCCTATCAACTGGCAACTCTTTCAGGATAGAAAGATGGACAGATAGTGCCTATGAGATTATGATCATGGCCCTTTAACTGCCCTCAACGCATGAATGTACCTACAGAAGTGAGGACATGGAAAGTCTAAATCTCTTCATCCCACTTGAGAAAGATGAATTTACAATGTAGGATATTCTGTCATCTTAAGATAATCAAAAACTAGACTTTTCTTTGTTGGGCGCGAAGAAGGAAGATGGAGAACCTCTTCTGTTTGCAAGATATATTTTGAAAGAGTGTGAATACAATGATGGCAAATGCAACTCTTCAAGAGATGCACCATTGAAATAAAAGTGGTAAAAGTGAGACCCATTAAATGTGAGCACCGTTGAGTCAAGCTGCATATAATTATCACAGAAGATAATACGGAAGCAGAGAATGTTGTTAATGATTTCTCAGAGCCCAAGTGGTGTGGAAAACAACTCTGAGTGCATTTACTCCTCCTTTTGTGTAGCCTATCACAATGTAAAATTGAGGGGGCACCTGGCATTAAATACTGTATTTACGAAAATGCAGTAAAAAAATCAAGATAGCATTTAGTGTATTGTTCTTCCACAAAAGAGAGAGAAGGAAAAAAAATTGCCTTTATCGACCAACGTATTCCAATTATGATGTTTTATTTAAATAATCACCAACGGGCAATTTGTTCAAAGTTATTTCTATATTCCCAGCATGAAATAATCCCCTATCCACTCAAGTTTTTTTATGACTCTAAGATGGGATAAGTAGAACCATAATTACAGGAAAAAAATTTGGGCGTTACGATTCTAGTCCAAAGTGTTGGGGCATTCACTTTCGTGGCCTCGGCAGTACCGTTTGTCTTTGTTGAGGCTCTATTTTCCCCCTCACTTTAGCTATGATTTCCTTATGGTATTTTAAATTAATTATCAATACCTTTTATGCCTTTTTATGTTTTTGTTCTATATTTGTATGGATAGCTCTTGCTATTCTTTGTCAAAATTGCTTCCTGTGCCTCACGTGCCTCTGAACTACAGTTGGATCATGATGAGGGTTTCTTTGCTGGTAACTGCACCCGCCTCAACAGAAACAGGCTTTGTTCCCTGGAGAACAGCTTTGTGACTACTGAACCAGAAGCTTCAGTGTTGCAGGGGAAGGGTCGGAAGATGCAAATTCATGTTTGTTTGGCAGTGGACGCTTGGCTCTGCCCCAGTTTCATCCCCATGAGTAGCATGCGTTTATTCCTTGGGATTCTTAATGTGACCTATCACTTCAGGAATATCCTGTGCAGAATTTTATTTGCTTGTACTGGGTTGAGTTCATAAACACTAATCACACAAAAAAACCTAATTAGCGCAACAATGAAAATGGAAAGACTGAACATCTGAGTACTTATGAATAGTCTTTCAGTGTCGTTGATTCCGTTAGTTATCTTGTATATTTTATGTCCTACTTATTACAGTAAAATAATAATATTCTATAGAGACACACTTATCAAGGAAGCCAGGAAGAGAAGATACTGGCTATAGAGGTTATGGCTGAGTCCCAAACTGAAGAGACAAATTGATCCTCAGAGTTACATGAAAATACAAGTGATAAACGTGGTAAGAAGTTTGTTTAAAAGGTAAAGGGGAATTAAAGAAAAAATGGATGTGAATTTAAACCCCAGAAACAGTAGTGCGTGGACTGGAAATTTCAAAATGAATTCATAAGCCATCAACAAAGATTAAAGCAATATAACAGTGTTATGGGCATTAAGTAAAATGGATAAAGAGAGGAAAAGTAATCAGAGAAAGTCTTTCCATAACAGGAAAACTAGGCTGAATTACTAATGGATTAGTAAGGCAAATCAGAGAAAATGGGAGGGGGAACACTCTTATTGCTTCAGGATTCTAGCCTCACGCCTTTCTTTCTGTGAGACCCCTACAACTGCTTACTTCACCTCTTAGCCTCGATTTTCTCAGCTGCAAAGTAAGCACAATGTTAGCACCTCTCGTAAGATTATTTAATGAGATGATGTTCAGATAAAGTTCTTAAAGCAAGGCCTAGTATATATTGTGGTAGTTGTTGTTATTATTATTATCATTATTAGAAAAATAAATATTTTAGATTACCTGATCAGTGAGCCATGTTCTTCCAAAGTCTTTCAACTGAAAAGTCATTAAAAGAAATTATATGTCCTTGGGCCAGCTAAAATAGGACATGATCGTTGAAGGACAGGCAAATGGCAACACTGCAACTGAGTAGAGGACTTCCAGTGAGGTGGAAGAGAGAGGAGAGTTGCCAGTGGCCTTCTAGAGGATATGTTTGTTGTTCTTGTCCCTTTGCTCCAGGGGGAAGGATGGGGATCAATCAACATGACAGGGAAGGTATGTCTTTAAGAGTAGGTCTCAAAACAACAAGGCTGCAATAAACCTGCCTCTTAGAAAATCAAAGAGATTTAGAGAATCTACATCAGCTTTCTAGGCTCATGAGTCCAGTGGGTACCTTGGCTTCACTCTGTATGGCAGCAATATTAGAAAAAAATAGTTCAAATGGAGTTATAATGAAGACATTAAGTCAGGGATATAGATTACCTTGCCTACATCAGATTATGAGTTGATATACATATGTATTTTGTAACTAAATATATAGCATGTAAATATTTAAATAAGAATACACTAATAAATATACCTTATATTTATTGAATCTTTCCTGTGTGCCAGATATTATAAGTGCTTTTATGAATTGTTTTATTTATTGTTCCACCATACCCTGATAATGCAGAATACTTTCATTATTCCAATTTTGACAATGGGAAAATTAAAATGAAGACAGGTTAAGTAGCTTACTAAAGTTCACTTAGTTAGGAAAGGGTGGAGTTGGGTTCTAGCCCAGAGTGTCTGCAACTGGCCCCATAATCTTAACCAAACTTAAAAACTGACCTTTAGCAGATCCATGATCACCATATAGATTTGACTGAATGACAGTAAAATTTTCTTAAAATATGCCTTCAATGTTCCTGTTGAAAGAATTTGCCTTTTGAAAATAAAACAATTTCTTTCCAGATACACTTAATGGCATAAAATTATTAAGTAACATCGACACTAGCTCTACCTCTTTCTCTGAAAATTAGAGCTAAGTGACATTTTCAGACTTTTCTAGGTAGACAATGTACTTGCTATTCCAGGAATTCTCATTCAATAGTGCATTTTCTCTTTCTTTGTCTCTCTTTCCTTTTCTTCCTCTCTTGTTTTTTCCTTCCTTTTTTCTTTTGTTCTCATAAATTCATGGAAGTCTGTCAAAGTTGTGATAGCATGCTACGACACATTATATTTTTGCTAGTCATGAACTCCGTTACAACATATTATCTGGTTTGCAGGTCATATTATTTGAAGGAACATGCTTTGCTGAAATCTTAAAAGGATACCAAATTGAAGCTCTGATTTGCAAGCATTTTGCAATCGTCACTCAAGCCATATTTGTCTTTTGAAATCAGAATTTATGGAGGACTTGTAGCCTTAAAATCTAACAGGAGAAGAAGTTGACAGAATCGTTGATGATATTTAACTCAAATTTCATAGCAAGTATTTTGTGTATTGCCAGATCAGAACCTCTCAGGTTATCATAAATAGGGCTTGACTATTTTATTAATAGCTTGGTTGGTGTAGTAGTCCATTCTCACATTGCTATGAAGAAATACCTGAGATAAAGTAAGGAAAAGAAAAGAAAAGATGTTTAAGTGGCTCATGGTTCTGTAGGCTGTACAGGCAGCATGGCAGCATCTGCTTCTGAGGAGGCCTCAGGGAGCTTTGACTCATGGCAGAAGGCAAAGCAGGAGCAGGCACTTCACATGGGGAAAGCAGGAGCAAAGAGAGGGGAAGAGAGGTGCCACACATTTTAAAATGACCAGATCTCATGAGAACTCACTCACTGTTGTGAGGAAAGTACCAAGAGGATGGCACTAAACCATTCATGAGAACTCCGCCCCCATGATTTATTTAATCACCTCCCACCAGGCCTGACCTCCAACACTGGGGGTTACATTTCAACATGAGATTTGAGCAGGGACACAGATCCAAATATCAGTTGGCTGGCTAGCAACCTATGGCTTCGTGGCTTTTTAGGATACCTGTTTTATAAACACACACCCCTGCTTTCACCTCTACCACTACTACCATTTCGTTTTGCATACAAAAGAATAAAGCCTAGTTTATCACAGCGATTTCACAATTAGCACCACAGATGAGACTCATCTTTTTTTTTTTAACTCCTTTGTTTGAAAGATGAGCCAACTAAAGCTAAAAAAGTGACTTGTGAAAGGTGATACAAATCCTTAGAGGTTCAGCCAAGTTCCAAATTCTAATCTTTCAAAATCCATCCCAGCTATTTCCACCATCTTATCCAAACAAATCCAACTAATCAAGTTGCTGGTATAATGCTAGTGTTTATTAATCATGAGGGCTCTCCTTCTGTGTATTGTTCTCAGGGACCTTATGAATAAAAATGCTGGTTCTCAAGGGGAGTGAGATATGTTGAGCTAGGTGTGCTGGGCTGTGTTCAGCACCCTGTCAGCAGTCCTAATAGAGATACTATCATGACCCCCTCCCTGCTTTATAAATTAAGAAACCAAGACTTAATAGGCTAACTAACTATCTCAGACCACACAATAGTAAGTCATGGAGTTTCCTTGTAATCCCATCTTATTGATGCCAGACTCTATACAGTGCTGCCTCCCTTGTCTCATGCTAGAACACATATAAATGGTGCCTGCACATTTACAAAAATTCATCCATTGGCTCATCCAATGTTCTTTTCATTTCTCCTTTTTTTTTTTTTTTTTTTTTTTTCCGGTCAGGGTAAGGGTCTAGGATAAAGGGTGGATGCAGTGATTTGTAGTTTCTCTGTTTTTTGCTGGCTGGCCACATTCTATAGCAAGCTGATCTCAACGAGCCCTACTTGGGAGAGCTGCTTGGAGTGTGTACCAAGCTGGGGCAGCCATAGCCTTTGATTAAGAGGATAAAAAGGCATCTCTGGTTCCTGTGGTTTTTTTTTTTTCTTTGCTTTTGTTCTTGTCCACAGGAGTGGTGGGGATGGATACTGAAGAGGCTCAGTAGGCTGAATGTGAAGAAAGTTGAAGAAAGCCCCTCTGTTATCTAAGGAATAAAAATCACATGTCAGAAGTTTACAAATGGAAATTTGAGCAGAACGGTAGAGAATTCCAAGGCTCCTTATACTCTTTCTAATCAGCAGTTACAAAGCATAGTCCAGCAAACTTAAATGCCAGCATATCAAAACTCCCTGTCTTATCATACCCTTTGAGAATTCCTAATCTGAAAATCTGAAATTCAAAATGCTCCAAAATCCCAAACTTTTTGAGTGCTGACATAATGATGAAAGGAAATGCTAATTAGAGCATTTGGATTTTCAGATTAGGGATGCTCAATGAGTAAATATAATGCAAATATTTAAAAAAAAAAAAATCGGCCGGGTGCGGTGGCTCACGCCTGTAATCCCAGCACTTTGGGAGGCCGAGGCGGGTGGATCATGAGGTCAGGAGATCGAGACCATCCTGGCTAACAAGGTGAAACCCCGTCTCTACTAAAAATACAAAAAATTAGCCGGGCGCGGTGGCGGGCGCCTGTAGTCCCAGCTACTGGGGAGGCTGAGGCAGGAGAATGGCGTGAACCCGGGAAGCGGAGCTTGCAGTGAGCCGAGATTGCGCCACTGCAGTCCGCAGTCCGGCCTGGGCGACAGAGGGAGACTCCGTCTCAAAAAAAAAAAAAAAAAAAAAAAAAAAAAATCAAAAATCTGAAACTCTTCTGGTCCTGAGCTTTTCAGATAAGGGATACTCAATTTGTAGTGTACGTAAGACATACAGCAGGGACAAGAAAAATGAAAGCAAGCAAGTTTACAATTTGTTTCCCCTTAACAATTAAGAAAAAAATTAAACTCTATCAACATAATTATTCACCTTTATTAAGCAGTCAACATTTTCAGGCAGAACTAGTTTGTAATTTGACATATTCACCCGTTCATTCAAGAAGTATATAGTAACTATATAACACAATAAGTAAGAGATGTTTTCAGCCAACTTAAAATTCAAATACAAGGAAGAGACATGTTAAAAGCTGATTTATAATGAAGAGGCATAAGTGCTGGAATAGAGATATCCATAAAATGATTTGGGAATGTAAAGGGGGAAATAATTATTTGTAAAAATGTTGGCCAAGGTTTTGCAGAGGAATTGACAGTTGAGTTGGGTTTTGTGGAATGAGCAGTCATCTTCCAGAAGATGAATGGGATAACTCTAAAGCAGATGAAACCCATTGTGTGAAAGCTTGACGTTGCAAAAAGACGTGATCCATGGAAGGAAAGGTAGATAGTTCAAAGTAGTGGGGTGATGTCAAGGAGTGGTATGACAAAGGAGGCTAAGTGCTGGCCTTGGAAATGTAGTTGAGATTATAAAAGGTTCATACCAAAATGTGACCAATTTCAAATTCCAATCTCAATATGTGTTTTATTATAAATCAGTGAGATTAATTTTCTGTGGTTCATCATTAAAAAAATACTTTGCAATAGTGTTAAACAAGGTTAGGTAAAATCAAAAGTTGTTCCAAAATTATCTTGGATCTGGGTAGACATTTGTAATACAATCTTGAAAGCATAAAATGAAATTTTGTGATTTCTCACTGGATTACAAAATCAGTTGGACAATCTCATAATTAAAATGTCTATATTGTTACAAAAGGTCAACATGCTGTACTTATTACTGTATCTGGATTATATGCCCACTGTGGTTATTCAGCGGGCTATAGCAGAACGTTACAAAGTTTCTTATTATTGTTGTTTGCTTCTGCTTTTCCTACCCTCTACCCACAGGACTAAAGGGTTTTTGTTTGTTTGCTTCCTATATTTATTTATTTCCCCACCCCATGGAACTAAGATGGCTTTATCAACCCTAACAATGAAAAGTCTCAGTGATTTAAACAACACATTCATTCTCACTTACATTCGTGTCCATTACGGGTTAACTAGGAACTTCACTCCCCACTGTCCTTGCTCCGACATACAGCCTGATGGAAACTTCACCATCTGGGCCACTACAAGTTGCAGAAGCAATTAAAATAGAACGTGGGGAGAATCATGATCTTTCTTATTAAAGGCTAGCTGTAAGGGTAATAAATGTTACCCTTGCTGGTATTTCATTGGCTAAAATATATCACGTGGTTTTCCCTTCTTTTAAAAGAGACTAAGGCAGTACAGTCCTACAGTGTGTCTTGAGGGAAGGTAACCCCAATTATATGGGGACCACACTACCTTGCTTGCTATGTATTAGTTAGCATGGTCTTTTGTCAAAGAAGCAGGAACTGGGTGGCTTAAATAACAGAAATTTATTTGTTCACAGTTCTGGAGGCTAGAAGTCTCAGATAAGGGTGCAGACATGCTCAGGTTCTGGTGAGGACTCTTCCTGGCTTGCAGATGGCCCCGCTTTTGTTGCATTCACACGTGACAGAAAGAGAGAGTTCTGGTATCTTGTCCTCTTGTTTTAAGTCATCAGTTTCATTGGCTCCAACCTCATCACACCATTTAACCTTAATCATTCCCTATTTCCAATAGTCATTTGGGAAGATGAGGCTTCAGTATGCCAAGTTTAGGGGGACACAATTCCATCCATAGCATTCCACCCTTGGTCTCCCTAGATTTGTGTTCTTCTTGCATAAAAAATACATTCATTGTATCTCAACAGTTCCAAAAGTCTTAACTCATTCCAACAACAGCCCTAAAGTCTAAAGTCCAAACTCTCATCTAAATAGTATCTAAATCAGATATGAATGAGACTCAATGCATCTTAGAAAAATTCTCTCCTGCTGTAACACTGTGAAACCAGACAAGTTATATGCTTTCAAAATACAGTGATAGACAGTCGTAGACTAAAACTTCCCATTCCAAAAGGAAGAAATGATAAAGAAGGAAGGGCTGACAGATCTCTGTCCTCTTTAGCTGAAACTGGCAGTGTTGTTAATGTCATCTCTATTCCTGGTTTCCTGATGAGATGGCTGATTAAGTCCATGAGTCACTCCCATGCTGTCTTTATCAAATAAATGGTTGTTTAACCATACTCATAGTGTTGTCTTCAGAACAAGCTTTCTCATTCATTTATTCTTTTTTTTTTCAATATGCATGATATGAGGATTTTCCAGATCTTCAAATTCTGGCTTCTTTTTATTTAAAACTTCCTTTTTCAATTCATTTTTTTTTTTATTTTTTGCATTTTACTATAAGTAGTCAGGAGAAACAAAACCATTCTGCTATGGTATGTGTCTCCCAAAATTAATGTGTTGAAAACCTAATCTCCAGTGCAAAAGTGTGGGGACTTTTGAGAGGTGCTTACCCTCATGAATGAATTAACGCCGTTATAAAAGGGCTTGATGGAGATAGTTTTGTTTCTTTTTTATCCCTCTCACTTCCCATGATGTGAGGGCACAAGCAACACTTCCCTCTGGAATAACCATCTTGGGAGCAGAAGCAGCTCTCGTTACACGCTGAATGCCAGCACCTTGGTCTTGGACTCGACAACATATAGAACTATGAGAAATACATTTCTGTGCTTTATAAATTACCCAGGCTCAGGTATTTTGTTATAGCAGCACAAAACACACTAAGACACATTTCTTCAGCCCTTTGCCTAAAAATTTTCTCAGCCAAATACTCAATTGCATCACTTGTAAGTTCTACCTTCCACAAAACACTGGAACACAGATCAGCCAAATCCTTCGTCACTTTATAACAAGGACACCTTTCCTCCAATTTCTAATATTTCCATCTGAGACCTCATCAGAATTGCCCCTAACATCTGTATTTCTATAATGCACCTCAAAGTGCTTCTAGCCTCTATCCACTACCAGTTCCAAAGTCACTTCTGTGTGTTTAGTTATTTGCTACAGCCACACTCTACTTCTTGGTAATAAAATCTGTGTCACTTCCAGGGTGCAATAACAAAATATCACAGATTCGATGGCTTAAACAAGAGAAATTTATTTTTTAACAGTTCTGGAAGTCCAAGATCAGGGTCCCAGCATGGTTGAGTTCTGGTAAGATCTCTCTCCATGACTTGCAAATGTCTACTTTCTTGCTATGCCCTCAGATGACAGAGAGAGGTTTGGTATCCCTTCCTCTTCTTGTAAGGGCACCCTTCTATTGGATCAGTGCTTCCCTCTCATGATCTCATTTAACCTTAGTCACCTCCTTAAAGGCCCGCTCTCCAATATACTAGCACTGGACTTTAGGGCTTCAGCTTATACATTTTGGTGGGACACCATTCAGTCCATGATATATTTTTTATGAAGATTGACTGAATGTAAACTTGGAAATGACACTATTGAAATTATTTGGTGCACGTAAAAGATGGATTGGTGCTATAATAGCATAAATCATATTAATCATACAGACAAAATATTAAACTGTGCTCTAGAAATTGTTAGTTAACAAAGTCAAGACTTATTCCCCAGAATATTCCTGTTTGGGGTTTATTATTTTTTTTTGTAACTTATTTCACCAGGATTCTAAAAACGACAAGTCAGAATGGAGAAGAAGTGGGAGCTTGCTCGGCTGTCATGCTTTCTCTCTCCTCCCGTCCCTCTTGGTTTGCAGACCCTCTTGGTTTGCAGAATGGAGGCAGTTCTGCTGACACCCTACAGATTCGCATTCGATGAGAGGCCAACCCTGAAGATGGTTTCAGTGTTCTTCCCAGGTCTCTGCTGTTCCTGTTTGGGTCTAACTTTAGACTAAGTGACAGGCGTGCCACCGTTTCTCAAAAACAGGTCATGGCAGGCCCCTGTGAGTTGTTCTAGTTTAATTGTGTGATTAAAATTAGAGAAGGGGATTTTATTTTATTTTATTTTTAGCTCAGAACCTAACTGAGTCATTGGTTTGTCCTAAAGATAAATTCTCTTTCTTTTCTTTCTGCTGCTGATGGATTTTTCAGTATTTTTTTTCCAAACTACCGGGATATCTGTGTGAAAGACAGGCAAAGTTTATCCATAGATTTGTTTACTTATTTTATGTTTAAACTGAATTATCTAGTACTTTGGCAAAGGACAAATTTTACAGCTTCTTTTTTTCTTTTCATGTATTGTTTTCTGTTTATGCTTTCATTTTTCTCTGAGTATTTCAGTTAGCTGGTGCTACTATGTTGTTAAATAATTCATACAGAGGTAGGGCATGACCATTTATGAAGTACTTCACATTTGTGATGATTGAAAAAAAATCTGTCTTAAATGTCTGTATATTATTGTTGAAGATGAGGCTGTAGATCTCTTTTTCTTTTGGTTCATTCATTTTATATATATTTTATATAGAATATATATTTAACAAATCGTAATCATACATAATTATGGAGAGATCTCTCATTCTGAACTAAAGAATGGCTCCCATGCCTGAGGCAAAGTAACAGTTGGGACATTATTTGGCCAATTTAGCTGGGATTAAGGAGAGAAAAAATAAGCAAAATTTACATTTCACCAAACAATTTCCCCAATTCATCTCCCCAAATACTCATAATTTTTCTCTTTTACATTTTGATCAAATTTTTACAATAAACTTTTTATTTTAGAGCACATTTAAATTTCAGAAAGTTTTAGATGTACAGAATTATTGCAGAGAGAGTACAGAGAGTTCCTGTGTGCCTGACACACCCAATTGTCCAGGTTGCTAACATCTTGCAATAGTATGGTGTCACGATTAATAAATCAATAGTAATACATTATTATTAACTAAAGCTCATACTTTATACAGATTTCCTCAATTTTTCTCTAATATCCTTTTCTGTTCCAGGACCCCATCCTGGATACCACATTACTTAGCCTTCCTCTGGTTGTGATGGTTTCTCAGTCTTTATTTTTGACCACCATGGCAGTTTTGAGGAGTCTTGATTAGGAACTTTATAGAATGTCCCACAGTTGAGATCTGTCTGATATTTTTCTCTTGATCAAAGTAGAGTAATGTGTTTTGGGAGGAAAGCTACAAAGGTAAAGTGCCATTCTCATTATGTCATATCAAGGGTACATTCTGTCTACATGACTTACTGCTTATGATATTAACCCTGGTCATCTGACTGCGGTCGGGTTTTCAGGTTTCTCAACTGTAAAGTTATTCTTTTTTTTTTTTTTTTTTTTTTTTTTTTTTTGAGACGGAGTCTCGCTCTGTCGCCCAGGCCGGACTGCGGACTGCAGTGGCGCAATCTCGGCTCACTGCAAGCTCCGCTTCCCGGGTTCACGCCATTCTCCTGCCTCAGCCTCCCCAGTAGCTGGGACTACAGGCGCCCGCCACTGCGCCTGGCTAATTTTTTGTATTTTTAGTAGAGACGGGGTTTCACCTTGTTAGCCAGGATGGTCTCGATCTCCTGACCTCATGATCCACCCTCCTCGGCCTCCCAAAGTGCTGGGATTACAGGCGTGAGCCACCGCGCCCGGCCAAAGTTATTCTTTATCGTCCTTTCCATGATGCATTTTTTTTTTTTTTTGAAGAAAGTCATTATATGCAACTCACACTTTAAGAGTAGGGAGTTATGTTCCATCTGATTGGAGGCAGAGTATTTACATAAATGATTTGGAATTCTTCTATATGGGAGCGTTCTTCTCCTCCATTTATTTACCTATTTAATTATTTATTTATGTCAGTATGGACTCCTGGATATCTATGTTATATTTTGGGTTCCAAGTTAATACTATTTTATTTACTTTGTTGCTCAAGTTGTTCCAGCTTTGGTTCCTGGGAGCTCTTGCACCTGGCTCCTGTGTCCCTTTGCTATACACCCATCATTGTGGGGTTTTTTGCTTTTTGTTTTAAGCACTTTCTTGCTTTCTGGAATTACAGGGTATATCACCTGTATTTCTTGTCCCTATCCCTAGAATCAGCCATTTCTTTAAAGGGCACTGGTTTCTTTACCTTGAAAAATTATACTGGACACCAACATCTGGGTGCTGGATGTGCTCCTCTTAGGCCAATTTTTGATGTGATATGTCCCATTTTCTGTTTGATTAGGTGTTAGCTTTAATATTGGCTGGCCATTGAGAACTTGATATCTCTCCCATACAGTATGGAGAAGAAATATTTTGTTTTATTCCCATTTATGCTCCATATGAACTTTAGGTTTTGCCTCCAGATATTTTGCTTTATTTACTAACACCTCTAAAATCAGACTCATATAACTTTATTTAAAAAGCCATACTTTGTTTTAGTTCAAGAGAACAGAGCTATCTTCTGCAGTCTGCCCAGGTGTTAGGAAAAGATCAGAAATCAAACTGTAATTGATAACTAAATACTTGTACTGCATTTTTTAAAAAAATGAATTAACACAAGAAGTTTGTTCTTTAATTTAAGATCATTATACATTAAATTGCTCTAAGATAATTATATTTTGGTTTTATTTTCTTAAACCCTAAGTTATGATGGTCTATCTTTTGGTAGATCCAGTTGAGAAATGTCATACCATAGTGAAAGGCAGTGGGCTTGGGATGGGCAAATTCACTGGGGAAATATTATTTATTATATTACAAAAATTACCACCATCATAAGATATATTCATTTTAGAGTGGAAAGGAAACTTAAAAACTCTCTCCTCTAACTAATTTGTCTTAATTTTGAATAAAATGACTTGCCTAAGTTCATTCATTTATCTAGCTGCCAAACAGGATCAGAATTCACTTGTCATGAGATGAGCAATTCCATCCAGATTAGAAGTTTAACTGTTCAAGAACTTATATATCAGTTATATATATTATATTATTTATATATTGCTATATGTATTTTATATATATATAAAGTAGAGAATACACACACACATATTGCAGAGATATGAAACTGACTGCATAAAGCATTTTGGAGATAATATATATAACAGAGAATACACAAACACATGCACGTGCACGCACACACACACACACACACACACACACATATATATATATATATATATAGATATATTGCAGAGATATGAAACTGACTCCATAAATCATTTTGGTGACTGAAGGCATGGCCATCTGAATTGCATTTGCTATTTTTACCTTAAATTCAGTGACTAGAACCAAGAAATGTTGAAAAGAAATTCATCTCTGCTTGGAACCAAATGTACTAAGGAGAAATTAACTTATTTAAGGAAAAAAAAATACACAGCTAACTAGGCTGCTTTTGATGATTCACCAAGAATACATCCTTTAAATGATACCAAAAAATGAAAATAAATGTTTTCTAAAGAAAGCCATTAATATGCTTGCATTGCCTTTACCCTTTCTAGCAATCAGCCAGGAACTTTGGATCTAATAACTCAATTTCTCATTCCTATGGCTTCTTTCTGATTCTTGGGATTGGTGACAGGGAAAGACACCATGGAAGCTAGGGCACACCAGAGACTTGAGGAGATTCAGATGTCATAACTGCTCTTTAATTTCTTGGAACAGCCTTCCTTGCTTCCTGGAGTCCCCACAGAAAGCAGTGGGGCAGCCACCTGGTGACCCCTTTATCTGAAGGTGAAGGTGGGTAAAGAATGCCCATTTTGAGCTTCCAAAATCAGCCTTTGTCTTCCTGGTGTTTCAGACTCTAAGATGAGGATGCAGAAAGAGAAGGAAAGGAAGTACAGCCTCCTTAGAAGGCAGAGAGAGAATCTCTGCTTTTCTAAGCATCTTCCTATTGCGTTGCTGATTAGAATTTTATAGGGAACATAAAGTCTGAAACCCTTACTCTCCACATTTGCCTAGTCAGGGCTGTTTCTCTTGGCTTTGCACTCAATTATTCAAAAGCAGACATCACTAAGAAACTCAGGAGGTGAGCCCATGGAAGCCAGGGAGGCTGACAGTCAGCTTGTAGTGTGCAGTGTAGCAAGCAAGGCTTCACGTCACGATTGCATGAGAAAGCCATGCTTACAGGTCCTCTCTCCATTCGGCTTTAGTGGTTGCACGTGTCCATCAGCTTGTGGCTGAGCGCAAGGAAGCATATAGCTTTCAATGGGGACACAAATGTTCTCAAAAGTGTGTTTAACTCACCTTCAATCATACATCATTTACGCACCCAGGGCGTTGAATCTGGGGAACATGAACAGACAGAGATGACAGAAAGAAAATTGGTATCAAAAAGAAAAGATTTTATTTAAGTTATGTTTTGATTGTTGTTTTCTTTGTTGAAGATTTGAAACTGCTTTATGAGTGGGAGAATGAACAGAATACTTGAAGAGAGATATGAATACAGAAGTCGCTTTTGGTAAAAATAAGGTTTTTTACTGGCATTTACAAATTTTTATTAGCAGAATTTTAAGTCATTCACATAGGCCCCACTACTGCAAAGAAGCTAATATTTCTGATTCCTTTAAAAACTATATTTGGACAAACCAAAAGAACATGAATCAGAATCTCAATGTAGGAGGGAATGTTATTTGGCAACCTGCTGACCCTAGAGAACTTCTTTTTGAGAGGACACTTTTTTTTCTTATCTCTGAATATAATCTGATTAGCTCTCATCATTTAATTCAACAGAGTAACATACAGCCAAAAAAAAAAAAAAAAACAAGTAATCAGTGAAAGGAAAACATAACATGAGTTTTACCAAATATCTGGTCCCTAAATAAATTCTTCCAAAATAATGCAGCAGTAAATACGACCTAAGGAAACGTGTAACGACATTTTGCCAGGGGTGGGACAGAACAACATGGCCTAATCATGAAAGGTCACCTACCCAAGTCCGCCAAATAGCAAGTTACCTAAAGAAGTCATTTGAGAACAAAGTATTTTTATCTATTTGTTTAAAGAGGATATTGGACTACAGGAAAGGATCTCAACCTCTTTTTTTCCTTTCTTGAACCAAATGCTTTGAAAAATGACCGTCAAACAAGATGCATTTATTACATTATGGTTAGTTAATTTTCTCAACTTATCAATTACAGGTAAATGTAACTGTCAACCAGAATTTTTTATCAGCATGAGATAGCTCCTATTCATACACGGAGCTGCTTTTATTCCAGAAGAGAATGAGGGAAGTAATGAGCTACTTTATTTGGTCTGCCCAGTTATTTTTATTAATAAACATATGATTTATCCATGAAATCTGTTTTAAATGTACAAATGTTTTCTCTTAGACTTTTTAAGATATTAAAATTTGCTCTCATGCCACATATTGGTAAATAGGCAAAATAGAGTTCTCCGAGGTCATTTCATCCTCTGATAATCAGTGATAAATTGCTCTTGTAGCCTCTGCCAAGAACTGTGACGGTTCTGAGATTTCACCCTACTTGTAAGCTAACAAGTCTGCCAGTTTCATGGATGCTGGCAGAAGCCATAAGCCTCCTGGGTCAGAGACAGAGGGCAGTTTTGTACGCACAGCAAGGAATGTAGCCAGAATATTGGCATTTGTGCCAGTTCTCCAAGCCCCAACTATTTTTTTTTTTCTTGAGACAGAGTCTCACACTCTGTCACTCAGGCTGGAGTGCAGTGGCATGATCACGGCTTTCTGCAGCCTTGACCTCCTGGGCTCAAGCAATCCTTCCACTTCAAGCCCCAAGAGTAGCTGGAACTACAGGTGTACGCCTCCACACCCAGCTATTTTTTTATATTTTGTAGAGACAGGGTCTTGCCATGTTGCCCAGGCTGGTCTTAAACTCCCGAGCTGAAGTAATCCGGACACCTTGGCCTCCCAAAGTGCTGTGATTATTTGCATGAGCCATCACCAAGCTCCAGCTTTTACAGAGAAACACGAGAAAAGCCAGATCATACCTGTGTGCATAGTGAGGTGAATTACAAGAGAAAAAAAAAAAAACCTGTGTATAAAAAGACCGAATCTTTTTTAATGGATAGTACGCATGCCTGCTCCTTTGCTCCAGAACAGATAATATCTTGATCATCCAAGTCTGTAATAAAACCTGTGCTTTGCTATGGTAGAAGGCACTATCTTTGTCTTCTATGGCTGTTTGCTATGCAATTTGCTCTGAAAAGATAGTCCAGACCAAAAGCAGTCAGTGCCTCTGCTTGCAAAATGTGCAGCAACAAAGGAGAAGCCTAGAGAATTGTCTCCCAACAGCTTCCTTATCGATAAGTGTAGTCTACATTGGCAAATATTTTCATTGGCATAGAAAACACATCAGATTTATTACCAAGGAAATGAAGTTAAAATAATGTATTTGTCATCTGCCATGTCCCAGCTACTTTACTAGGTACTAGGGTTGCAGTGGTGAGAGCATTCTGGAAAATCTAATGGGGTACAAAGAAATGGTAAAATAATTTCTCACATCCACTTCTAAACCTCCTTCTTCCTTCCATCCTTCCTTCCTTCCTACTTTATTTTTTTATCCTTTCTTTCTCCCTTCCTCCCTTCTTCCCTTCTTTCCTTTTTTCTTCCTCCTCCTGTCCTATCAATCTATTTATATTTATTTATGAAAAACCTTCTATTTATATACCCAGTACTGTTGTAGGTGCTGACAACATAGAAATAAATTAGACAAGGTACCTTCTCCCTTCATGGAGATTGAATCATGGTAATTAGCTTTCATGCAGGTGATGTCACAAGACTACGGCAGATGGAAACACAGAGCATTACCCAAAAGAATCTACAGGGGCAACCACCAAACAGTCCCTCATGTCCACCGTGCCCTTTGAGAAGAGAGAAGAGAAGTGATCGCATCCAAAATTCTGCCAGCAGGCAAGGGAATGTTCCCATATGCCTTTTAAACTGGACTAGACGGCGTGTTGTTCGGGAACATCTCTATTATAGTAGTCCTGCTCGGAGTTTGGGAAAGAATTGTTCAAATCATACGGGAGGCAGTTCTTTGAAAGCCCCAGCTAATGTTAAGAGAAAACAGATTTACAATCCGAGGCCAAACTTAATAATACATAACGAATTGCAGCTCTGTTTGGGAATCCCCCTAGGTACCGTTCCTAAGGATTTCGAGTGTTTAATTGAAATTTCTTCTGGGACAGTAGTAATCATTCACTTAAGCATTATATTTATATTTGTGCATGAAGAAAGGAAGTCAAAGGGCTAATAGACCGACTGAGTAGAATGGCTGCTTTCAGCTGTGGGCCATTGACGAGCCGGCAATTCTCCAAGGGGCGCTTATCCTGGCGACAGCTTGCTTAGGTTGTCCTCCAGGGACTGTGGGAGGAGGACAGCACTGTGACTGACAGCTGTTTCTTCCTAGACTGAGATAGAATACATGATCCCAGTGTAGCCCGTTTAATCAAACTGTTTCAGTCTACAGGATTAAAAAACCTCAAGATGGAAAAGTATTCCGGTAGAGATTTATTCTTAGAAAGGCTATTCTTTTTACCCTGATGGTTAACATAGAGTGTTTTAACCCCAGGGGACTTGTGCCTTCATGATTTCCAAAGCAACATTAATGAGTAACTATTATTCTAGGAGTATTTCAGCCACTAAAATTGGCAATGGAGTCAAAATGAAAGTCATGCCGTTACAATAATACTGCCTTCTTGGCATCGTCAGATTTCCTATCTTCTTTCAGTTCGTGATCTCAGAGAATTGCATTAACTTCAACTAGTTTATTGCATATTCTGTAAGTCTTAAGAGTTGACCCCGTTGTTGTTTGCTGGTTTTTACAGGTACAATTTTCACCTACATACACAGAAATACTTAAATTCAACTGGTTTAGTTTCTTCACAGCTATATTGAGGTATAGTTTACAAATTATAAAATTCCCCCACTTCAAGTGTACAATTGAATTAACTTTAGTAAATTTCTAAGCTGTTATATTCTGAGTTGCGTTGCCACAATCCAATTTTGGACCACTGCCATCACTCCAAAAGGATTGCTCATGCTCACTTGCTCCCACCTTCAGCTCCGGGCATCAACTGGTTCAACTTCAACCTCACCTTGTCATGGTTGGTGCACGTCATCTAATAGATCTAGGTGTAGTTTCCTCAGATGTGAGCTATAGTCTGTATGTCTGAATACAGTAGCTATTATTATCCTTATTTTATAAATGCAAAAACTGGGATTTATAGAGACCAGGAAATATACCCAAGGTCCCAGAGCTAAGAAGCTACAGAATTTGAACTTAGTTTATTCTGACTCCAAAGCCTCTTTGCAGTGTGCCACACCATCCCTCCTAGTCTGAGAGTGAGCTAATTGTGGATCCTACTAGAAACTAGAGATTACTCAAAAATTATTCTTGTTATTATTGTGTGCATGTATATATAGATACATAGTAATTCTCTTTTCTTATTTCTCAATTATCTTATTGTAATTACTATATATACACACACATATACTGTATATATACATGATCTGTATATGTATATGTACACACACAGAATATGCAGTATATGTGTGTGTATATGTAAATATATGTATATAGCCTGTTACTTTTTTAATTTTGGTGATTGTGTTAGTGTTTGATGCCTAACAGTGTTCTGATACTAGCTTAGGTAAGAGTTATTTTCTTTCACATTAAAAAAGTTATGCTATCATCTCTTTTCTTATATACATGAAGACATCTCATCAAAAATTGCTGTATTGAAAGACAATATTGCCTATATTGAAAAATTATAATTTTACATATTGGTCAGCAAGTTATTTATGTCCAGCTGAATATTTAGGAATACTTGAATTTTTCAGAGTTTTTAAATTTATAGTACAAATAATCAGAAATCTAACATGTGGCATATCAGAATGGTGTCAAATTATATCAATATGGACTCATACAGATTTTAATAGTCAGTTGTCAACACGTGATGCTCCAGCAAAAGGTGGAATAGGGCAGTGAGAACTTTTTTGGAGCTTCCAAAATCTGAGTTTGAGTCCCTGTTCTTATACTGGCCACTTTCATGTCCTTCCCTTGGGTCACTTAATTTCCCTGGTCCTCCTTGTTTGATACAAAAATGAGTCTGACTAAATGGCAGTTATTGGCATCAGCCAACTCACAATAGGAAGTCAATAATTTATTTTTTGGATCACTTAGTTGTATACCTTTCCTATAAAACACAACTTCAAACAATTCAATACTTTCTGCATCATTTGGGATAAATTGAAGTGATGGAATTATGAAAACCCATATACATATATATGTGTGTGTGTGTGTGTGTGTGTGTGTGTGTGTATGTATGTCCCATATATATGGGGTATATGTATATATCCTATCTATATATATACAAGATATATATATCCTATCCATATATATATGGAATATATAGACAACCTATCCATATATATGGGATATATATAGATATATATATGGGATATATATATATGGATATATATATATGGGATACATATGTGGATATATATATATGGGATACGTATATGGATATATATATGGGATACATATATGGATATATATATATGGGATACATATATGGATATATATATATGGGATATATACATATGGATATATATATATGGGATATATACATATGGATATATATATATGGGATATATACATATGGATATATATATGGGATATATACATATGGATATATATATGGGATATATACATATGGATATATATATGGGATGTATACATATGGATATATATATATGGGATGTATACATATGGATATATATATGGGATATATACATATGGATATATATATGGGATATATACATATGGATATATATATGGGGTATATACATATGGATATATATATGGATTATATACATATGGATATATATATATGGGATATATACATATGGATATATATATATGGGATATATACATATGGATATATATATGGGATATATACATATGGATATATATATATGGGATATATACATATGGATATATATATGGGATATATACATATGGATTATATATATATGGGATATATACATATGGGATATATATGGATATATATATATGGGATATATATACATAAGATCAACCACAATTAATTTCTTATTCCCATGAAATTTGAAATCAATAATGCTGATGACTAGGTGCATCTCCTCCAGGTAGTGACTGACAACAAAGCGTCTTTCTTCTGGTGACACCACCATCTTGAAGCCACACTTGCATCATCAGGGAAAGAGAACATGGAGAAATTTCATAAGGTTTTTAAGTTCTCTTGTTTTTAAATGACACACATTACTTCTGCTTCACAAGAACTAGACACATGGCCTGACCTAGATGCTATGGGTTCACTGAGCAATAGCTCCTGACAGGGCATAGCCACTTTGCAGTGACAGTTCTATGGAAAGGGAAGCACTAATTCCGGTGGACAGTTAGTTCTCTCTGTTGCTCAGGCTAAGTCTCAAAGCAGAACATATAGAGGTGATGAAAACCGGAAGCTGAATGGAGCCTTGGACATCGGAGCTATTTGATATTGGGGGACAAGGAATGGTGAATAACTTGGTTTATTTGCCTAATAATGAAGGGATGGTCCTAATTAGCTGTTTTCAAAAGTTTGCTGGCCCCAAGTCATTATTTAAGGGGCAGCTGTAATCAGGTCCTCACCTGCTGGAGGCTATCGCAGAGTCCCCAGGGATCTGGGAACAAAAACAAAAAAACAAAAAAAAAAATAAAACCACAATTTCAAACCACTGGATGAAATTGCTTTAGGAGTCCCTCTCTCAACATTCTCTGATTTGAGGTCTTTAATATCTCTCTCTCCTGTTTTATTTTTTAATAAAAGTGTATTTAAGTGATGAGTGAAGAAAATCTAGAGCAAAGACTGAAGACTGGCAACTTAAAAGCCTATTTAATTTGGACTGTCCTTTTTCAAATTTTATTTTTTGCTATCATTTATCAATAGGTAAATATCACATAAAATCTAGATTTTAGGCTTTTCTAGAAACACTGCAAGATCTAGCAACATAAGCTCCACCTTCTTAAATGACAGAAGTCTACTGGAGCTGAATAGCAGCTGCTTTTCCCAAAGGGACCTGCACTCTTTCCTATTTTTCCACAGGCCCCCACTGTTCCTTATTGCCTTCTACAATGGCTGAGTTAGCTTCTTTATGTTAACTGCCTTGATTTTGTAAGTCATTTGAATTTGCAAAATGTGATCTAATGAAAAATTGCGTGACCTTGTTGAAATTTTTATCTTTTTCAGGTAAGCAGATAATTATTAAAAACTTATGAGGAAGAATAAATTGAGTCTTTGATTATTCTTCAATCTATTTTGCATAGAAAGTTTTGCCACGTGATCCTCCCCTTTTTGGAAGACATTTATTTGTAAAATAAATTTACAATAATTGTTCTCCCCCATTATCTGTGTTATTCCCTTTAGCCTTTGGGCTTACAGGATTTTAGGCTTCTGCTCCGAATTAATTTACGTAGTGATTTTCTGTTATCAGACAAAGGATCTACATAGCAACAATACATATGAGAAAAGAGATGATAGCACAATTTTTATAAAAAATTTGGCAATCTTCTTCTTAGAGTTGTAGCTAATAACGTCTTTGTGAGGTTGTGTAGTGAAACTCTGACATATGTCATGGTTGTCAAAGTCGGCATTAACGCAAAATAATAAGTTATTTAATATAGGATTCAACTTTATTATTTTTTCAAGTAAGCTGTCTATCACCAAGTTCTGAAGTGGATTTCTTTAAAGTCTCCCTGTCTCCAGAGAAAAAGGGGAAAAGGCAATGTGTCCCTGGACAGGATCTATGACTCATTACGTCAATCAAACCCCACTTCAGAAGGGAATAAAGAGATTTGTATCTCAAAGCGGCGCATAACGACTCCTCGGCTTTTCATTTCATATTTATGAGCGGTTTACTTTGAAGTGTTTATCAGCCAATGCGCAGAAACATGAGGGAGGCTTGCCCGAAACCATACTCATGCCTCTAATCTGTGAAATGCTTTCTGAGCAGACTGGCTCATCAGCGCATGCCATGCAAAAATAAATACATAAATAAACTTTTTGTTATTTGAGGTCTTGGAGCCATGTCTTTATATAAACTATAAAAAAGGGATAAATGGTGCTGAACGTTTTGAAATTGGTGTAACACAGGAAACTTGACTCTGTAATGTGCAGGGGGGTGGTGGGGGTGCAGAAAGTTTATTGCTTGAAATAAAACCTGGTAGAAAGCAGACAAGTAAAAATACACAAATTTTTACATACATTTCTCATCTGATCTAAGGCTTTGGGTCCGTCCAAGTGACCACATGATGGCAGTGAATAGTATATGGTGTTTTTTGTTGTTGTTGTTGTTTTTTTTTTTTTTTTTTTTTTTTTGAGACGGAGTCTCGCTCTGTCGCCCAGGCTGGAGTGCAGTGGCGGGATCTCGGCTCACTGCAAGCTCCGCCTCCCGGGTTCACGCCATTCTCCTGCCTCAGCCTCCCATGTAGCTGGGACAACAGGCGCCCGCCACTACGCCCGGCTAATTTTTTGTATTTTTAGTAGAGACGGGGTTTCACCGTTTTAGCCGGGATGGTCTCGATCTCCTGACCTCGTGATCCGCCCGCCTCGGCCTCCCAAAGTGCTGGGATTACAGGCGTGAGCCACCGCGCCCGGCCGTATATGGTGTTTTATTTAAAAGAAAATTTTTTTGGAGATGTTATTTTCGGAGTGGTTGGAGAGAGAGCACTGCCAAGATGTTGAAACCAAATGAATGAAATCTGTTTTATAATTTTTATCTGTACTAGTATCCCATGCATATTGTAAAATAAATAAATGTGTAGAAGAAAAATGGAAGATGAAGAAGAAAGAAACATAGAATAAAGTATACATTCTTGATGAATGGAACTACGACCTTTTCTCTGCTTTCAGTCTAACTGGGTTATACATTAAGCAAACTACCTGTGTGTTTATTGAGCAACTACTACACTAGATCCTGGGTTTACATGGGTAAAGACCAGCCGGAACTGCCAAGGCAGATCTGGCGTGATGGGAGAGGATGCCAAGTCAACAAGTCAGTGTCCTTATGGTGTCACAGTTCCTGAGACCAAGGGCCACTCAATTCTCTACTTCTTTAAATTAGATCTCTTGCTTTTGTGCTCATGGCTCACTGATTTTATCCAAAAAGAATGTTTAAAGGCATAAGCCTAATTCACTTTAATAATCCACAAATTAGGTCAGTGATTTGAACAGTTGTTGGGAGAAAATAAAATTTAGGAGTCCATAAACCATTGTCTTATAAAAAACAGTTTCATTTCTGTTTGCCCTTTTTCTATATATTCTCTACAAGCTTTCCCTTCACCCCCTCCCCTAAACCCTCCCCCATCTTCCAGTATTCTAATGGGAAAGGGGCTTTATGTCTAGTCCCTGGCTAGAGATAGTTAATCATAGAAGTTTAAAGCTGAAAGTCTTTATATTCTAGAAAGCATGGCTTGTGAGAGAGTATATAGCCTTTGAAGTCAAAAAAGAGACATGTTTGAATTGAAGTTTCCCCACCTACTCGTTATGTGGCCTTAGGAATATTATTTCTTTCTTTTGAGCTGTATGCCTTCTTCATAGTTTTGTTCTGATATTTTTCATGTAAAGTGTTTATAAGTCTGACACATAACACACGATCAATAAATATTAAGCCAGAAATGTTTGTTGAATGAAGAAATGAATGAATGATGCCATCCTTTTCATCCCATCCTTTTACTTTCAAAAGAATCGGAAGCCTCAGGGGATTAAGGACACATATTTGCCATTGAGTACAGGCTCTCTAAATGACAAAGAAATAGTTACCTCTCCCCTACGCTACCCCTGCCAATGTAGGTGGGGTGAAAATAAACCATCAGGAATAAGATACGATATTGTAATTGCATATTTCTGTTTATCTTACTTATTAGCTTATGAGATCCCCAAAAGCAAGGACACAGATTTTCTGTCTGTTTCCGTAGTTGGTTCTTAGCACACCTTTCTGTCTATTTGTGGAGCCAAATTGAACGAAGCAGTCTGAAACACGTACAGTGGTGCCCGTGGGTCTGTGTGTGCAGTATAATGGCAACTATTCTTGGGGAGACTTAAGTACAAAGAAGCATACGACCTGCCAGATATGCAGGAAAGTCAACCAAAGCCTTTGTGGGGTGTGTTTCTGATAATGCTGATGGATAGACTTTCTGAAAGGACCATTCTGATTTTCTTATCCGAATGGAGATTGAACACACCGCGCACAAGAGAAAGTGATTTGGAGCCAATTCTGAGAGAGAGGAAGTTGAAGCAAGAAATAAGTGTTTGAAATAATAATCTGCTGCTGATCCCTAAATAATCTGAAATGAGAGCACAGGAATTAATGAGGCTCCTAACCCCTTGTGACACAGGAATAGCAGACTTGTGCCAGTGACACAGCAATTTCCCTGGTGGTCTGCTCATGAGCCGCGAGGGAGCAAACAAAACCATTGTCTCCTTTGAAAGCAAAGCTATTTTAATAAGGGAAATGTGGCTTCTCAGATGAAAGCTCACAAAGTGCCAGATAGTGCAAATGTTTTTCATAAAGCACCTGGAAAACCTCACCAAAGAGAAACATCTCAATAGAGAACAATTGTCAGATTGGATTTAATTGCCCGTCATTCTAGAGATGGAGCAGTTTTGCTGAGAAAAGTTGGCATTTTAAAAAAGAAGCAATCTAAAAGAAATGACCCTTAATTTTTTTTTTTTTTTTTTAAAGCTAGGAAGATGGCTGGGTGCCGTGGCTCACACCTGTAATCCTAGCACTTTGGGAGGCCGAGGCGGGCAGATCACCTGAGGTCAGGAGTTCAAGACCACCCTGGCCAACACGGTGAAACCCCGTCCCTACTAAAATACAAAAATTAGCTGGGCATGATGGCGGGTGCCTGTAATCCCAGCTACTCGGGAGGCTGAGACAGGAGAATCGTTTGAACCCGGGAGACGGTGTTTGCAGTGAGCTGAGATGGAGATGGGGCCACTGCACTCCAGCCTGGGTGGCTGAGCGAGACTCCATCTCAAAAAAAAAAAAAAAAAAAAAAAAAAAAAAAAAATTAAAATTAAAAAAAAGGCAGGAAGATGCAAGAGGGTTGCATCTCTATTCTCAGCTCTGTCAGAGATATGCTTTGTGACTTCTGGAAAGCCCAGAAACCTCCCTGTTTTTTGATTCTCAGAGAAGGTAATTCTTGTCACTTCCCATGGAGGATGTTGCATCCTAAGGCAGTGGGCTTTGAAAAACTCTTTGATAAACCTCCTCTCGGAATGCTAAATAGTAGAAGATAGCAGAGTCACTGGATTCTGGGAGATATTTTGAAAAAAATGAGGAAAGGCAAGGAAAGTTGCTTGCAATGACTAAACAGTTATTGAGCCCTGGGTATGCCTTGCCAGAACCCCTGAGAGGAGGCCAGGCACTGTTGCTTCACCTCTGATAATGGCCAAATGGCCAGAGTATTTGATGTTTATGCAGGGGAGTACACTGTTTGTGCATTCCAGGATGATATCAATAATAGAACACAGTACCCATTTCTCATAAGAATCCTTTGAGGAGGTTGGTGTTTTGATTCAGAGTGATTTTGGCCTTCCATACACATGAGAATTTTATGGAGGAAGCATGGCTGCATTATACCTTTCATGGGCCTTAGGCATGTTTGTCTTCATCAACCCCTTTCTCCATAAAAAGACATTTAAAATTATATTTCTCCACTGCCTTAATATGAAAGCAAATGTATTGCTTTTGTATATTAAAACATTCTCTCTGACCTAAAAGTTTATTTCTTTTGATTTTCATAGAACTTAAAGCTTTTCCGTGGGTGCCTGAAAGTATTGTGGGCCTTATAATACTGAGCCTATTGTGTCCAATGGATAAGTTGGCTCTGGGAGGAAAGCTTTGTTCAAGTCGACATTTTTTTTAAATCTAAATGTATGAATTCCAATATTTTGAGGAAAAAGGCCTTGTCTTAAAGATGAATATCCTTATCTGAAAATAGTAGAAATTTGTAACGTAATACTAATTGATTACTGTGGATTCAGAATTTGTAGTTATAACTTATACTTCAGGAATAACATGGTCCACATGGAGCACAGAGCCCTCGTTGCTTTGACTTTTTCCCCCTTATGCAAGAGCCATCCTTTCTTTTTTTTTTTTTTTCTTGTTGCCCAGGCTGGAGTTCAGTGGCGCAATCTCAGCTCACTGCAACCTCCGCCTCCCAGGTTCAAGCGATTCTCCTGCCTCAGCCTCCCGAGTAGCTGGGATTACAGGCATGTGCCACCACACCTGGCTAATTTTTGTATTTTTAGTAGAGACGGGATCTGGAACTCCTGACCTCAGGTGATCCTCCCGCCTCAGCCTCCCAAAGTGCTGGGATTACAGATGTGAGCCACTTTGCCCGGCCGAGCCATCCTTCTTAAGGACAGTGTTTCCACATTGCATTTCAGATTGTCTTATTTTTTAAAAACTCAATATAGTCACCACAATTTAATTATTTTATGTGAATCAAGGCAAGGCTAGTGAATGATGACTTGAGTGCTATGTGTGTACGATAATAAATTTGTTCTCATATGTTTTTGAAGTTTATTAAATTTCAAGTAGTCCTTTGATTCTGTTCTTCAGTTGTACTAAAACGCCTGGTCTATGCATTCTCTCACTCTTCCAGATGTTGCTTCTAAGCCTCCAGCACCTCCTCCTCATCTTCAATCAGAAACGAATTTCGAAACCACATCTACCATCCACACACTCCCAGCTTCTGTGCCCACATACTCCACCTTATTGCCTATCACTCTAAGTGAAAAACTTCTACTGTTATCCCAGGTAAAGCGTTCACCTGTGTGCAACATCACGGTCCCACTGGTCTATTAGAGGTTGCTCCAGGAATTCTACCTGCCTGTCTCCTAAATGAACCATTCTTTGATTCCTTCTCGCACAAAAACCTGCTGTTCTTTTCCCTGACTTACATTCACCCACTTCTTCTACCAGTTACTGCCACATTCCTTTACTACAATTTGCAGCCAATCTCAGAAGAGCTGTCTATCACATTGCTTCTGATTACTCTCCCCCATTTTCTCATAAACACAATCCAATCAGACTTTCACATATACCCCTCCACATAATTGCTCTTGCCAAGGTCACCAATGATTACTATGTTGCTACATCATAATTGTCCATTCTCAGTTCTCTTAATGACCCATCAGCAACATTTGCAACAGTTAATCACTCCCTCCTCTTTGACATACTTTCTTCATTTAGATTCCATTCTACCATACACTCGTGGCTTTCCTCCCACTGCACAGGTCACTCCTTTCTTCTTTTTTTTTTTCTGTTTATAGTTATTTGACCCTTGTGGTCTTATGGTCCCTCTTTCCATACTCCTTTACTGCTTTCTCTTCTTCACTCCAAGCTCTTAATAGGAAAGTGACCCGGGGCTCAATTCTTGATATTCTTTTCTATCTACATTTATTCCAAACTGGGGATTTTCTCCAGTTCCACAATGTTAAATAGTATGTACATGGCAATGACTCCCAAATCTGTATCTCGTATATCAGACCTGTCTCATATATTCAGCTAACTGATCAGCATTTTCACTTATATGTCAAACACCCAAAGTAAACTCAACATCTCGAAGACTGAAATTCTGATCTGCACACACACACACACACACACACACACACACACACACACACACACACACCCTGCTGTTTTTACAGCCTACCCCATCTCAATAGATAGTAACTCTCTCTTAGTTTTCAATCCAAAAATGATGTCACTTCTAACCCCTCTGTTTCTACCACACCCTGCGTGTAATCCATCAGCAAATTTCAAGACTGCCCACCCCGACACTCTTTCCATCCGGACGGGCTGTAATCGTCTTTCCCATGCAATCTTAAAGTGTATTTTAAGTGGTCTCCTTGATTCGGTTCTGCCACATTCCTTTACTACTCTTTGCAGCAAATCTCAGAAGAGCAATCCTTTTAAAATGTAAATTAGATGATGTCATCTTTCCCTCCCAAAACAATGCAATGGCTATTTCACTGAAACCAAGGTCCTTAAAATCACCTCCAAAGCCACACAGGACCCAACTGTCTCCTTAACTCTCTGATGTCTTCTCTTAAGGTTGTAACTTTGCTGCCTTCATTCCAGCCACAAAGTCCCCCTTGCTCTTCCTAGAATGTGCCAGGCATGCTCCTTCCTGAGATCTTTGCACCATTGGCTTCCTCATGCAGCAGGTATTGGAAAGATTAAATTTCCCAATTTACTTAAGTAGTTTTTTTAAAGTCACTTTCTCACTGAGCTTTCCTGGATCAGATTATTCAAAGTATTCATGAATGGCCTTGCACTCTTCTACTTTCTATTTTTTTTTTCTTTTCATAGTACCTACCACCTTTTAAGATATTACATACTTAAGTTTAATTAGATTCCATTTGTTAATTTTTGCTTTTGTTGCGATTGCTAGGGGCATCGCTGTCACGAAACCTTTGCCAGTTCTTACGTCCAGAATGATATTGCCTAGGTTGCCTTCCAGGGATTTTATAGTTTTGGGTTTTACATTCAAGTCTTTAGTCCATATTGAGTTGATTTTTGTATGTGGTGTAAGGAAGAGGTCTAGTTTCAATCTTCTGATATGACTAGCCAGTTATCCCAGCACCATTTACACCATGGAATACTATGCAGCCATAAAAAGGAATGAGATCATATGAGCCCTTTGCAGGATCATGGATAGAGCTAGAGACCATCATCCTTAGCAAACTAAGACAGGAACAAAAAGCCAAATACCGCATTTTCTCACATATAAATGGGAGCCAAACAGTGAGAACACATGAACACAAAAAAGGGAACGACAGACACTGGGGTCTACCTCAGGGTGGAGAGTGGGAGGAGCGAGGAGCAGACAAAAGAACTACTGGGCACTAGGCTTAGTATCTGGGTGATGAAGAAATCTGTACAACAAACCCCGGTGATACAAGTTTACTCAAACAAGAAACCTGCACATGTACTGCTCAACCTAAAATAAAAGTTTTTAAAAAATTAAACCCATTATATCCAAGTACTTACTGTAGATAAGGCACTGTATCGCCCTAAAAAAGGTGTCAGATACTTAGACATTATGTTAACTGTTTAATGTCTGTTTATCTCAGCCAAAATAGAAGCTCTGTAAGGGCTTGATCTACTTTGTTTGCTGATACATTTCAAGCCCTTAGAACCAGGCTTAGCATTTAGTAAGCACCAATAATATTGGTCAAATGAGTTAATGGATGTACTAGTGAATAAGGCTCTTTGCCTTTGTTCTTCCGGCCCAGGGTCGCATTCTTTTAGGTTCTATGTCTCTTCTCATGTATTCCCAGCTCCCATATGGTAGGCTGTCTTTCTGCTCATGGTATCCTCCATTTATGGTGTGAGATAATGACATAACAATGTATGTTAAGAATGAATATTCATTACAGGAAAAAGAACCTGAAAATTTCTCCTACTGGTTCTGCTGCTGTTTCTACTACAATTATTACTCTGCACAATTTTCTAAAATATTTTATTCAGGACCCCCTATTCTGGTTACACTGCTAAGTGTTTTCTAGTCACAGATAACTTTTATCTCTATAGGCTTATGAGGATAGGTATTATTAAGCATGTTTCATGAATGAGAAGACTGGAGATTGGGAGTGGAAGTTTAATTAGAGTGCGTACTATCAAACCATAAGTAGTGGAATAGGAATTCAAACTCTGGGCTACTCGCTTCTACAATATTCTTAACCACAGATGTACACAGTCTCTCACCTAGGGAACAAAGTGCGTGGGTTTCCTGACAGTATATCAGTCATATTGTGATTTGGTTATGTGTACTTTTGCTCCATAACTTTAGCCCAAATTGAATGGAACTTGAAAAGACATACGAATGGGGGTATTTCTATGTAGTGTAATTGAACATATGAGCAGGGACATGCTGAGTGATGTGACATAATAGAAAACATTATGATATCACAAATAATTTAAAGTATGGAACTAGGATAGACTTATCCAAGGTTTTTATTTTCAAAATTTTTAAATTGATTTTTTTAAGGAAAGTCATAGAAAAGTACAGAGAAGAAAGCGAGCAATGAGTATCACTTGTAATTAACGAGTGTTAATATTTTGTCAAATTTACCTCAAATCCTCTTTTTTTCCTAATTGCATTCTTCTCCCTCCATCTCCAGAAATAATTGCGATTAAGAATTTGATTTATATTTTTCTAGTCCAAACTTATCTCTTTGCTATGTATGTGTCTATAAACAACATATAGCACTCATTGTATCTTTCTTATTGTGTTTTTGTAACTGGACATTTGTAATTTGACATCTATCCCTCTTAAGACCAAGGCTATTATTTCTAATAATTCTCTACTCCTAAAATTGCCACTGTGTGGCAAATGATGGCCAGAGTTAAAGGCCTTAAGTTCTTTTTGTCACTTTTTCAGGAGACTTTTTTCATCTAAACATCTTTTGTAATAAGCAGTATATGAACAGTATTATTTAGCACATTTAACTCTGTCAACAGTTTTCAGTGGATAGTGTGAAGACCTTTTTTAAAAAGTCATAACTCGATGCCTCTGGATATGCTGAAATCCTCATGAAGCTGTTGTCTCTATTATATGTGAATACATCCATTAAGTGTTGATAGTAATGGTTGTAAGGTCCTTTGGTTTATAGCTCTAACCACATAGGGAATGATATATTTTAGTGGAGAATTAGTCTCTGGCATTGCTGAAACTGATTACTTATAGCACCACTCACCCCATGTATATAACAAGTGCTGATGGTGTAGTATTTCAGCTGTGATGACATAAGAATTTTTTTTAACCTTATTGAGCCAGCTTCTGCCTTCTATTCTTGAACTCCTTTTTGACTTTGGCTGTATGTGACTCAACAACTCTCTGTAAGTCAACAGCTGCCAGATGCTAAGTGTAATTAAGGCTTTACATGTATTTGTAACCTACGACATGTGTTTGGAACACAGGAAGCAAGGTAGGAAAGGAAGAAAAGGAAAACTCTTGACTCAGTTTCAATTATCCTCTCCCTGCTTAATGGATGCTAACACGCACTAGGAAGCTATGGTCTTGCCATTTTTTATAAGCTCAATGGCTGGAGGCTTAGTATGGTTTTAGACAAGTATCTACATCCTAACTGTAATTGGTGATGAGGCAGTTGATTTAAAAGAATTCTTTTACAAACAAGAGTATATCATTAACATTTCCCCTCAAATATTTGTGGTCTAATATACGGTGTGATTACTTACTGAGGCAAAGTATCTGCTATACATATATTCACCTGCTGATAGACTGTGATCCATCCATCTCACTAGATGTCAGAATGTAGATGAGTTAATTAACTCTTGAGATCTAGAATAATTCTTCTGTGATAGGAAAGTCAAAGTGTTTTCAAAACATCAAGCACATGATGGAAATAGGCACCTTGGTGAGTGCTGTAAATGCAAGTGTCATGTGCCTTTTGGTTAATTTCAGTAATGTTAGCAGCGTCTCTACTGATATATCATACTTTTTGTATTTTTATGGAAAAGTAAGATATTGCATTACTTAATGGAATAAACATTAAATATATCTAAATATATGCAGCTTAACTAAAAACTGCATTTTATTTACATTGTGGCAGAATAAGCTGAAAATAGAACCCCATTTCATTGCTTATCATTTTGTAGTTTTATATTTACTATTAAGAGTACAATAATAATAATAGTAACATGAATAATAATAGCTAATATCGATCGACTTATTGGTGTGTGTGTGTTTGTTACACACACCTACACACGTATTTATTGCATGTGACCACAAGATGCAAGTACTATTATTCTTCCATTTTACAGGTGAGAAAATGGAAACAGAAGTATTAAATAGCTTGATCAGAACAACAACAACAAAACAGTCCTCACAGCAAGTAAGAGAACTCTCCATCCAGGCAGATTTAAAACAAAATAGAAGAAGAAATAAAAATAAGCAAAAGTCAGAAATCTGAGCATTGAATTGTTAGCCCACAGTAGGTTTTCATTGTGAGCAAAGACTGCTACCAGAACTGCAATTGGGAAATGACCTGAGGCTTAGAGCAACAAGGACATGAAACTGAGATTTCTGTAGTAAGCCAGGAAACCTAAAAAGAGGTATGTGTTCAACACTACCACATGCACATTGCCTGTGTAGAATCAAATACAAATTTTTTAGCCGGCAAGAATCCCAGTTTAGGCCTGTGTGATTTTTGAAAATTAAAATAAACCAACATATCTAAAATTAAATATAATTAAGTATGTAAGGATGGGCACGGTGGCTCACGCCTGTAATTCCAGCACTTTGGGAGGTCGAGGCAGGCGGATCACAAGGTCAGGAGGTCAAGACCATCCTGGTTAACACGGTGAAACCCTGTCTCTACTAAAAATACAAAAAATTAACTGGGCATGGTGGTGGACGCCTGTAGTCCCAGCTACTCGGGAGGCTGAGGCAGGAGAATGGTGTGAACCCAGGAGGTGGAGCTTGCAGTGAGACGAGATTGGGCCATTGTACTCCAGCCTGGGCAACCAAGCGAGACTCCATCTCAAAAAAAAAAAAAAAAGAAAAGAAAAAGAAAAAAGAGAAAAAGGAAACAAACCTTCATAGTTAAGTGTGAGCAAGTCCATAAATAATTGATTTTGACCTTTAAAGTTTTAAAACATTAGAATTTATCATTTACATACTATTAACTATGTATAATAGAAAAACTAAACAACAATTGAAAAGCAATATCAGTTTTATAAATGAAATGCAAATTGTTGAAATTAAAAAAAGTTTAGTACATAACAGTGAATATGAGTTCAAGCACAATTAAAGAAATAATAAGAGTAATCATAAGAAATCAGCAACAGACTGCACAGAGAGAAAAGACATAAAAATACAACAGAAGCATTTAGAGAGAAAAAGGGTAGCGTAAGATCAGCTGAGTTTAATTGGTGAAAAGAATAGAGTATGGAAGTGAATAAATATATAAAAGAGGCAATGACTGAGACTTTTTTTATATTAAGAAATCATGAATTTACAGAAATAGAGGCACAAAATATATCAAGTAAGATTAGAATGCTAAATAGACTGGTACAACATACGTATTGTAGTCCTTAGAGCACCACTAAAAAATCTGTGAAAAGATAGACAAAAAGCCTAGACAAAATTTAAATGAAAATTTTAAATAATTTATTAACTGACAACAATTAGGCAAAGAAATACAGAGGGAGGAAAATGCAGGGAGCACAAACAGGAAAACATAAATAATAAACCTAAATCCAGTCATATCAATAATTACATTAAATATAAATTGACTATCATACCAATTAAAAGACAGAGATTGTCAGATTACTTAAATAACAAGACCTAATTATATGCTGGCTACAAAAGGCATATGTCAAATGTAAAGACAACAGAAAAGTTGAAAGTAAATAAATGGAAATAGATGAGTCACACGTTTATTGCTTACAATAAAAATAAGAAAGCTGGCTTGACTGCTTTATGTAAGGCAAAATAGACTTTAAGATCACGAGAATTACAAGAGAAAAAGATGAGCATTTCAAATTGATAAAAGGGTCAATTTATTCTAGGGATATAAAAGTCTATGTGCCTAATAACATAGTTTTACAGCGAGAAAGAGAAGGAATAAAAGACAAAGCAAAATTAACAAAAATAAAGGAGGAAAGAGAAAAAAAAACTACAGATTTAACTCTTTTCTCAGTAACTGAAAAAATATCTAGACAGAAATATAGGATATAGAGAATTTGAAAAACGTTGTTGACCACCTTGACCTAATAGACATTTATAGGACACTACACACGAGAATTCTCGTATCACATTATTTTTCAAGGAAAAACTCTGCAATATATTCTATATGTTGTGCTATAAAATAAGTCTCAATAAGTTTCAAGATGGAAATCCTGGAGAGTTTGTTTTCTGTCCACCAAGCATGTAATTTAGAAATCGGTATCAATCAGACAAGTCCCAGATATTTGGAAGTAAAATTACACACTTCTAAGTAACCTGTGGGTCAAAGAAGTAGATGAGAAATTTAAAAATTTTGGAACTGAATGATTTGCATGCACAATACATTCAAATTTTGGGGGTACAGATAAAGAGGAAAATATTATAGGTTTGCAAATTTACTTAAGAAATAAAGAAAATATTTCAAATCAGTGGTCTACATTTCTACCGCAAGAACCTAGAGAAGGATGAGAAAAAAAAAACTCAAATTAAGTAGAAATAAATAAGATAAGTGCAGAAATTAGGGAAATGGAAAATAAACAATACAATAAATTAAAGCCAACAGCTGTTTGAAAAATCGATAAAATAAAACTCCAGTAAGAATGATCAATTTAAAAAAAGAAAGGATCCCTCATATCAAAAATGAAAGAAAGAATACTGTTAGAGATTTACACATATTAAAAAAAGTCATAAATGTTTGTGAAATTGACAAATTCCCTGTAAAACACAATTAATATTAGAAAGCATATATTACCTCAGAAGTCTTTATTAGGGTCACCATATATTGATGATAAAATGTTCAATCCATCAGAAAGCTATAATGCTAAGCTTACAACAGGTACCTATAAAATAACCTTAAATAGACACAGAGCAAACATTGACAAAACAGTATTGAGAAACACCCATCACAGTAAGAAATTTCAATATGTATCTTACAATTATAGATGGGACACACCAACAGCAAATTAGTAGTAATGCATAAAATGTATAGCATGAAATGCTTATAATAATAAAGAAGAATGGCTGAACATTAAAGACATAAAGGATCAAATTTTGAAGGTATAGAAAACAACAATTGAATGAACTTAAAGAAAGAAATAATTTGTATACATAAGGGTAGAAATTGATAAACTAAAAACATACACAGACAGTAGGTAGAGTCAGAAAAACAGAATTTTTTTTCTTTTGAAAGAAAAAAAATTTTATTGGTGAAACCAATTCAGTTAAGAAAAAGAAGGCACAAATAAATATTATGAGGAATGAAAATAAAGACAGTATTCTACAAACCTAGCAGAAATTTTTAAAAAGCCTAAACAATACATGGATAACCTATTGTATTTATGTCAACCTATTTGAAAGCATAAATGAAATGGGCACATTCCTAGAAAATTTATTGTTCCTAAATTTTCTAAATCAACTCATGACAAAATAGAAAATAGTAATAATTCTATGTAAAGAAATAAAGCAAGTTTCTTCCTCTGTAGACTGATGATCATCATAATAGCTACATTTGTTTTTTGGTTATTCTGATGCAGGCAACAATCTAAGCATTTTCCGCTGCTTTGTGTCATTCAGTACCCTCCTCCACCCTGTGAAAGTAGGTGCTATTTTTATGTCCCTTTTATAAATGAAGTCAGCAGAAGTAATTAATTCTAAGACTATCTGGTCGACAAGTATTTTTAAAACAGACATTCTAACTCCTGATTTTCTTAACCTTAGGCTATATGGTGACTGTTTTGTAGGGCTGCTTTTTTAATTAAAAGGGGAAACTATATAAAAGCATTTAGGACAGTGCTTGACACATTTTGAAGCCTTCAGTAACTGTAAACTAACCTAGTAGCCTTGCAGCTAACTCACTACTCTCTCTTTCCCTCTCTTTCTCTGATGAAAAAAATTGTTTATGGAGGAAGAGTCTCATATAGTCAGGTGAATGTACATGTTTGTAATGCTCTCACATAGGATAACTGATTGGTATAGTTTTTAATACTGAAATTGATTTTTAATTTCGTTGGAATTTTCATCAGCAGAAAACCATCTCCAACTAGCCAGGCTCCTGGACATTTCATTTTTATTTATGAACTGCCAGTTTTTCAGCAGAACCCTTTTGTTGTGGCTGATTTTGGGTTTTCCAAATTGGGCTTTGTTCAGATTGGAATGGGAAAATGCCACCACATCAGAGGAGAATGCCACCTTCACCTTTTTCTTTGAAAGTTATAAGCTTACAGGAAAACCTAGGATACTGGAAACTCTTCTGTCTTCACTAGCCATCTTGGTGTTTCCTTGATTTAGTATGTGTTTATTAACATTGGAATGGTTCTAGTTACAAATTGTAAATGTTTGGACACATCAGAAGATATTTATATAGATTAAAATAATGAGTCTAAAAGTTTACAAATATCAAAATATCAATCTCTTAGGTGTCATATATTAAAAAATGTAATTCTTAAAGCACACTTCTGAAATATAAATATTTGGCTTAAACTTTTATGAATAATAATGCATGTACACTTACTCTGTTGTTTTAAGCCAGAGGATTTTGGGTGAACAGTTTTATCAACATTTGGGAAAATATCTAAATATGTAAAAACAGATGAACTTTAAAAGGTCATTAAAAGAGAGTTTATGTGAAGACTTTTAGGATATACAAGCATAAAACATTAGTATTCATAAATACTTCCTCTGGTGCCTTCCAAAATGGTGATCATTAAATATGTAAATATGTAGGCTTTTATATTTGTATAAAAATAATATTTTAGATAATGTTGATAACGGTTTTAAACCGATTATTTTGTATGGCTCACACATATCTACAATTGGCCAACATTTAAATATAACATATTTAAATGCGAGATAACAATTTGGCATTTCATTTTGATTTGTCAAACAGAAATAAAATTATATTTTATCACTTACAACTGCTACATTTTTCTTGATAACTTTCTATGGGCAAAAACTTAAGGCATCATGTCAAATCACTTCAATTTCTTTGATAAAAAGTACTATAACGTTATAATATCTATCTTTTTCTTAAATATCTGCTAGAAAAAATTGTACTCCATATTCATTCTTGACTTTAAAATGTACGCTCTAACATTTGCACAAGAAAAATGACCCATGTTTGTTTACAAGGGATTCTCTTTGTTTTAGGATGAATGATTTTAGAAAAAGGCCGCTTAAAAAAGGAATCAATATTCAAAAGAACAAATGTTTCAAATTAAATAGTAAAAATAATTTATTGCAACTGTATCTTGAAAAAAATAAACCTAATTATCAAAACTATATTTCAGTTTGTTTAATTTCATTTACTATTAGAACTAGGCATATTTTGCATAGTTCAGTTTAAATTTAATATTATTCACTATTTGAATGATGCATATTTTTTTTCAAAGTGATAAAGAATAACAGTTTGGGGGTGGGGCATATATAGTCATGTTACAGCAAAATTGTTTGATTGTACCACATTATATCCTTCCCTTTAGGCTTGCATTTTGCAGCAGGATCATAGAGGGTCATTTTTTTTCCAAAAAATACTTGATGAGTTCATTAATTTTCCTAAGGGCTTCTCATTAACCTTTTATTTAAATAATTATCAAGTTGAGATTTTCTTGGTACGCGATATGACCAATGATTTTTTTACTATATCCTGGCCAATTGAAATATTACATTATGAAACCCTGGATCGTATTTAAATCTTCTGTTATAGTAAGCCTCTTCTGACACTGAGCCGATGGGAATAGTGGGATACTGTGTCTTGACAGCCAGGTGGATGTAAAGGTGTACTTTGTGTATACTGTGTGTGTATTTTGACAAGGTGAGGAAGGGGGTGCAGTGAAAGAGCGCTGCTTCGTCGCGGCAGGGCAGAGTTGAGATTTTAGAACCCTCCCCTACCCCCACCCCAGGCCTCTGCTGATGACAACCTCGCTGAGAGGGAGAGAGTTACCTCCTACCATTCCCCTCAGGTCCTCTTCTGATCATGGTGGTGAAATTATATTTAACATTTAGCCTTCTCTGCCCCCAGCAAGGAGAGAGGGAGGGCTGGGGATAAAAGTCCGGGATCCCCGCGCTGGTCTCCACGGACAACACTTGGTCTTTTAAAATTTTACTCTGGTGTGTTTGTAAAAGTGTAGGGATGGGGCTCCTTGCTACAGCAGGCTGTACTTGGGGCTTGTTTTGTCTGCTGCCGTTTCCAATTTGCAGGTTTCTCTAGCACCAGGTTTGGAACATATGAGGCAAAAATAAACCCCAGGGAACTCACCACCATGTAGTTCCTGAGGCTCCAGGACCCTGTTAAGTCTACCTTGTCCTGTCCCATTTTTCAGAAACTGCTTATGTGATTTTTGTATGTAATGTCCAGGGGTTTTAGCTGTACTTAGTGGGAAAAGTAGAAAAGGGGAACACTAAATCTTGGTCCAGAACCAGATGTCTGTCAAATCAGATTTTGAAGTTCCCATCGTCGTGACCACACTATTTCTATCTTCTCTTGTTAACTGACTTAATTCTGTTAGATTTTCGTTATTCTGTGACCTTTTTGATGAACTATTTTTTTTTTGCATAATTTTTCTTGACTTCATGAAAATCTGCAACTTCCCAAGCTTTACAATCTAATTATAGATTGGCACCATATTACTTTCTGCTATCAGCAAGTAATTAATTACTTAGACGTTGATACGGTAGTTGATGTGAGAAGAGATACTAGGAGAAAGTGGGCAGGGATGGGTAGGGATTAATTTTATAAGTGGTCATTCGTGACTTTTCATGTTATTACAACTTTTATTTCTCTGTATAAAATGACTTCTCTTAAATTCAGGGTGCTTGCATAACAAACATTTAGACAATGAAAGTTTTCTGTATTGCATACAGTTAGCTTTTATCTTCTTGCCCTTGTAGTATAAAATCTGTTCCAATGCTGGCATTTTCAGTGCTATTTGTGTATCCTGGTATTACCATGACATGATAATTCTGACTTAACTACATATGTGCTTTTCCTAGTTAAAGGTTATTTCAAAGTTGGTAAAAACTTAGAAAATAAAGCCATGATCACAATGCAAAGACATATCTCTCCTTAAAATTGCATCCCAAATAGAATTAGTGGGTCAAAGAATGACCCTTGAATTCTGTTGCAAAATTTCTCTCTAAAAAAGGCATGGAGGCTGGGCGCGGTGGCTCACGCCTGTAATCCCAGCACTTTGGGAAGCTGAGGTGGGCAGATCACGAGGTCAGGAGATCGAGACCATCCTGGCTAACACGGTGAAACCCCGTCTCTACTAAAAATACAAAAAATTAGCTGGGTGTAGTGGCGGGTGCCTGTAGTCCCAGCTACTCGGGAGGCTGAGGCAGGAGAATGGCGTGAACCCGGGAGGTGGAGCTTGCAGTGAGCCGAGATAACGCCACTGCACTCCAGCCTGGGCGACAGAGTGAGACTCCGTCTCAAAAAAAAAAAAAAAAAAAAAAAAAAAAAAGACGTGGAGAGGATCTGGATTATACACTGTGGTTACGATCAAGAAAAGACAATTTAACGTCCAAGATATTTATCAAGAGAGTTATTTTAAGACTTGTGTTCCCCTCTTTTGATCACTGAACAGTTTTTAGACATTAACATTCTCTCCCAACCTTAAATTACACTAAAATTGCTTTATGTAAATATTATAGATTGCATGTAATCGTTTATCTATAAAAATATTGATTCTGGCCTTGATAATGTACCATGGGGCCACACTGGGTGAGTTATCGGCAACAGCCATAGAGCACATACCTGAAATAAAATGTATTGGCACATCATCTATATGCACTTTTATCAGTGATATCAGGAGACTGGAGGCAGATAGAAGATAAATAATACATATGTATTCCATGAATACTGATATATTGTGCCTCCTTGTTATCTTTCTGAAAGATAGTAAAGAAGAATGAAGGGTTCACGGCTTTCCACTAGAAATCTTAGCTTGGAGAATCACACAATGAGTAGTTTCTCTCTTTCATTCAAAGCTGCCACAGAGCTTACTGAAAACATAATTATGCGAGATGAATTAGGGCAAAATCAGTCTCCCATCGATGAGCAAAGTAAGTGCAAAACAGTAAGTTGAGCTAGTATTAAAAATGCTTCCATACTAATTTACATTCTGAGAAGTCTGTATAGAATGCAGGGCTTCTTGCTGTAAGATAAAATACATGGAAAACAATGGTTGGAAATCAATCCATATAGAAGAATATTTGGGAAAACTGGGTATGGTATGAGCAAACTGAAGTAGGTATGTGTGATAGCTTCTCAATAGAGTAAATCCCCAGTCCTTTGGAGTGTTCACCCCAAACTAGATGAACAGCTGGTGAACAGGCTGTGAAGGCATGAGGCTTCCTTGCACCTCCTTGACCTGTGCAAGGCATGAGGTCACCTTGCACCACGATGTGACCTCCATGGCTCCCTGTTTTTTTTTTTTTTCTTTCTTTTCTTTTTTTTTTTTTTGAAACGGAGTTTCGCTCTTGTTGCCCAGGCTCAGGCTGGAGTACAATGGCGTGATCTCAGCTCACCACAACCTCCGCCTTCCGGGTTCAAGCGACTCTCCTGCCTTGGCCTCCCGAGTAGCTGGGATGACAGCCATGCGCCACCACACCCGGCTAATTTTGTATTTTTAGTAGAGATGGGGTTTATCCATGTTTGTCAGGCTGGTCTCGAACTCTTGACCTCAGGTGATCAGCCTGCCTCGGCCTCCCAAAGTGCTAGGATTACAGGAGTGAGCCACTGCGCCCGGCCTGTTCTTTTCCTATGTAATATTTATCACTGTATGGATTGCACTTTGTTTATGTGATTCTTTGATTAATGCCTTTTTCCCCGATTAGACTGTAAATGTCATGGACTATATTTTTATAATGCACACTGTTATATCCCTGATGCCTCACACAGTACTAGGAACAATAAATATTTGTTGAGTGATTTAATAACTGGATAGACCCATTTTTATTTCTTTCTCCTGAGTATATGGCTCACCAGCTTCATATGTTAAGCCAGCATACCTGGAAAAAGCTTGGTCCAGAACCTGTTCCAGGTATTAATACTTACAATGAGGTTCCTATTCTTTAAGTTAGTGGAGAGTAGAAAGATACCAAACTAGGAATTGTGGGGAAATGGTGGCATTGGCAAGGAGTGAACCTGTTGGAAAGTGAAGATGAAAAGGTAATTTTAAAAAAAAATCAATATTGATTTTAGAGGAAAATCTTCCTTTCTATATACCAATGTAAACATACTCATTTAGCTTTTCCTGGCAAATTCAGCACAGACCTTCCAATTTTCTTTACAATGCTGTTCCTTTGTGGCTCGGGGGCTATAAGCTTGAAGGTGAAACTCTTAAAGTGCACTTTTTCTTTTCTAACATTTGTGGTTACTTTTTAAATGTATGCAAATCTTACTTGATTCCTGAAGACCTCAAGTTTGTTTTCTCATAAAAATAAGATTTCAATTTCTTATCTCAAGTAATTTTAACTAAAGAAGGGGCACTGTGTGTACTCCATGTCCTCCCATGGCCCTCAGCCCACTGTTACCTCTGGAACCCAGGCCAAAAACCACATGCAGTGCTCTTCACAAAGCCTCCTGTCCTCATACAACTTTTCCTTCTTTCCTGAGGAGGTCTTTGAAACTAGTTCTAGATAATGAGATGTGGGAAAACCATGTTAAAAGTTGTCTTAATACACACCCACTCCATTTTAAATGGGATTACATAGCTACAAATCCTCACATGTGGAATAAAAATATGTGTTTTAGTTTGGGTTTTCATTTATTGTGGGAAAATGAAGCAACATATCTTATGACTCTGTCCAGAAGGAACTTGCTCTCTAAGGACAAGATGGAAGAATATTAATATCAAATGACTTTTTTTCAATGACTTAAGGATGAGAAAAGCAACAATAGAAAGATCTTGTAATATTGTGTATACACACATACACACATACTCAGTAACTTCATTTTCATAGACTACTGAGACTGAAATATAAATTTTAATGTATAATTATGAGACAGTACCAAGGATGCAAACTGGAACAGAATACTCTGGGCAGAGAATTTCAGAGAGCATGATAAACTGTACCCAGGGAATAAACAGCAGCACTTAGCAGTGTGCTGATGGCAGAGAGGACTTCCCTCTTCACTGCACAGGTAGTGGGTAATCACCCCATGCTGACAGGAACCTGCACTTGGGTTAGCTCTCCAATGAATAAGTTTCATTCTGAAGAGACAATTATGTATAGAATTGGGCTTGATTCCATTTACACAACCAAATTAGGCTGGGAAAGCTCAGTGTTCAGTGAAGACAAGAAAAAAGCTCAGAATAAAAAGACATATGTCTATTACAAATTAAAGTCCCACTAGGTTAATGTGAGCTACACAGTGGTTTGGTGGTTTGTAAAATAAAAGGTAAAAAATGATATCGAGTATGTAGGCTACCATAGAGTGTCAAGTTACATCAAGAGTTTAGAGACAGAATGATAAGGAATGATCTTAATGTAATAGATATACGTAGAGTGGGTAAACTCTTGGCTTTGGTGTTATTTATGAGGTTTTCTCCACTCATAGCAGAGAAGTACATTTCTTCACTGCATTTTTTTCATTGTCATAAATTGGTTAAAGACAAAAGAAATCAGCATTATACATCAGTAAGTAGAGTGGACCACATGATTCTATCTGTTTTGCATGGAAATCTTAAAACATCTTTTAAGGAGCCAAGTAGTAAGCACAAATAAATAAACTGCACCAAAATGTTGCCAGGTTTGCTTTTGCTGGAGACTGCTGACACTATAGAAGCAGCACAAGTTGGGAGTCTGCAGGTACAGAGGTGAACCTGGATCTGCTGTGTGCCCAGGTGTGACCTTGGACATGGTGTTTAACCTCTCTTTGTAAAGTGGTGATGTCAACACCTAAAATGCTGGGCTATGATGGTATTTAAATGGCATAAAGCCTAAAGGTATCTGGCCCATTTTCTGACACCTAATAACACACGTTTATAGAACATGACAACGTGTTCAATAAAAACCTATTCTCTTTGCTCCCTGTCAGATCATGAGTTCCCCCTATAGGTCCCCATGTGCACACATTCACTTTCCGTAAGTGAGGCCAACTTGTGGCTTTAAATTGTGTTAGCAAAGAGAGATTCTTTGATACCATTTAGAAACCAAAGGACTAGCTCTTCATCCCTAGGATGCTGATTTCAGTGACACATTACATATACATACCTAACATAACCTCATTTCTGCCAATGATGGACCACATATACAACATGGTCTTGTAGGATTATAATACTGTATTTTTAGTGTATCTTTTCTATGTTTAAATACAAAGATACTTGCCACTATGTTACTTTGCCTACAGTATTCAGTACATAACATGCTGTGCATGTTTGTAGTGTAAGAGCAGTAGGCTAAACCTAAGCCTAGGTGTGTAATAGGCTAGACCATCTAGGTTTGTGTAAGTCACTCTGATGTTCTCAGAGCAAACATCACCTAAGGATGCATTGCTCAGAACGTATCCCTCTCTTTAAGCAATGCATGATAGCATTTATTAAAAACGACTAGTTTGGCACATGTTATATGAGGCACACAATCACCCTGAGAAAATTTTAAGAGATAAATGCCCAGATATTATAGATGAGAAAATTGGGGTTCGTGGAGTTAAGGGAATTACCATAAATGAGACTTGTCAGTGGAAACTAGGACGGGCACCCAGGTCTTCTAGCTGCCACTCGTATTCATTAGAGGGTTAACGCTGTATGACCTGAACCTTAATCTGATCCCTGCGGAGGGATCAGATCCAGGTATTGCGACCATCAAGATGCATGGCCTTGGATAAGTGCCTTAAATCCTCTGGTCCCCGGTTTCCTCATCTACAAAAGGATTACAGTAATATTATCATCTTCATAAAGTTGCAAAACATTAAAAAATATAAAAGTTGCAAAGTAAAATGTGCACAAGTAAGCACTTGGTGTATATTAGCTATTTTGATACGTTCCGGGTTTTTTCAGCTACATGGAGCTACCTAGACAACAGGGTCAACATGCCTAAAAATCTCTGAAATAAAATCTGAGCATTTTGTCCTATCATCGATATTTACTTTCTTTCTTTTGTTTGTTTTTCAAAGGTATCCCACTGTCCTGAATACTCTTGTCCAAGATCTGTTTCTGTACACCATGGTGAATTTGATGTATCTGTCAGATGGGAAAAGTGGCTGCTTTTTTGTAAGGATAAATTTTAACTTTGTAAAGCATCTCACAAATTTTAATCAGCTTCTCTGTCACTGTCACCCTAGGAACCAACTTCACCCTTGCCGAACTGGGCATCTGTGAGCCCTCCCCACACCGAAGCGGCTACTGCTCCGACATGGGGATCCTTCACCAGGGCTACTCCCTTAGCACAGGGTCTGACGCCGACTCCGACACCGAGGGAGGGATGTCTCCAGAACACGCCATCAGACTGTGGGGCAGAGGGATAAAATCCAGGCGCAGTTCCGGCCTGTCCAGTCGTGAAAACTCGGCCCTTACCCTGACTGACTCTGACAACGAAAACAAATCAGATGATGAGAACGGTAGGCCTGCTTCTTAAATACCTTTTAACGTTCTGTGCACTGCACCACGTGGGGCTTTGAATGTTTTTGTTTTTTAATGAAGCGGCGTCATAAAACCATTCATTTTCTTTGAAATCGACCTTGTCTACCCAGTGTGAGCTGGGGGGAAGTAAACCAGCAACCCTCCAGCACACAAGAAATGAGAAGAGAATTTAAAAATCACATTCTGATGATAACACAGCATTCAGGTGTAGTCAGTTGGTCTTATTAGCAAGTAAATTACATTGCAAAAGAGGCGGCTTGATAAACTATGACCTATACCTAGAAAATGTCCTCTCTCCACAAGTTTCTAGGTCTTTGTATTGATTTCCCCTTCCCAGTAAATGGAAACCTGGGTTATTTTTTTTCGTGACGATCTCTTAAGAATCCCACCTTATCTTAGACTTTCATTTCCAGGCGGCAATGCCTCATATCCGTATTGAAGATCAAACTTGGAACAGGTGCTCTGGAGCTTAATAATGACAAATAGGAAGAGACTTGTCTTCAGAAAAAGAATTCTTTATATGTTTACTTTTCCCCTTGGCAACTATGTAGGTTAATGGTTTCCCCCATCTTCTGTCACAAATCACTATTGCCTATCCATCAGCTTTCTAGGTGGATTTTAATGAAACTTTGAAAATTAAATCCTTCCGATCATTAAGCAGTAAATATAGAGAAGCCTAAGCAAAGTCATTAAAGAGATAAGGTGCTTTTTTGTGGGTTTCTGAGCAATTCCGAAGTGTGTTTAGTCAAAAACATTTTTTTAAAAAGATAAATTGCATTAGGTTACAGCTGATTTAAGACGAAAACATCAAATGCTATGTGGTTTGTTATGAATAGATGGCATGTTTGCTAAAAGAATTACCATTACCATTAAAATGTTTACAAATAGATCAGTTAAGAATGTTTATATAAAATATTAGAAACTTCTGCCAGAGCAGCTTTAAGTATTTCCTTTCATTTAAAAAAGAAAAAGGAAATTTGCAGGTGGACAGCTTGTTGTGAATGCAAAAGCATAGCTAAATATCATTTAATCTCAAAACTGTGTTGAAAATACATCATTTCCTGGGTAAGTCGCACATACTCAAAAAGATGTCACTTTTTTGAATTTAAATTTATGTTTAATTTTGAAATAATTTATTCTACAGTGGGGACAAGGGGATGTGTCTTACTTATGCCTCCGTTCATGTAGCTAATCAAGGTGTACTCTCAAGGAAAAATCTGTACTTGACTCCTTTTGAATTTTAACAAAATTCTGACACTTGGCACATTTGACACTCTGAGGTGCTTATTTAATAGGAAATTACTTTTAGAAGTTTCCATAAAAGCATACGTTGAATCCATTTACTGGTGTCCTTTTTCAGCTTCATTGTGTGTGTCATATACTATTTAAATGAAGGCAATTTGATTGCCTAATAAATAAAATCACTTGTAATCCAAGAATTTATGGCACATTTTAAACAAGGAATTTTAGCAAGTCCCTCATAGTTGGTATTCTTATACCTATAGAGGGAACCGTCTATACAGAGTTATTTATACATATTTATAGACCTGCACCTTCTCCCATTTAAGTTATATGCATCTAAAAAACTCATCTAATAAGGGAGGGTTTCTGGTGAAGCCAAGGGCACAAAAAATGCTTGCCATGAATTTACCTAGGAGAGTTATGGATGAAAAAAATCTGAAATTCATCATATATTTGGTAGACCAATAGTAGTTTCATTTTTTTCATATTATTTGAAACATCGTATTTGAATAATTTTTACTTTCTGCGAGTCTATGTAAATCCCTGCATACTGATAAGAAATAAACCCTTGATATAGTGTCCTGATTCTTTCCTACAGTACTAGTTGCAATGCAGTCAGAATTACATGAAGAGAAATGTACTTAGAAGCACTAAGCAACTCTGTATGTGAGTGTGGCTGGCAAGGCACAAAGGAGGTATTGAAGCCAGAGTTCAAACTAGGTGAGAGATGCTTATTTTAAAATATACAGGTAGAATGTCTTTGTTTTTCTTTTTAAAACATTTTTTCAATATTTTACATATTCAAAAGAGGTACATAATGTATCTTCTGTTCTCATTCTTGGCCAGAAATAAAAATAAGAAATTTTACACATCACATCATAAACTCTTTAAGCAAATACAAATTGAAGTGTGAGCAACTCTGCAGGCAGAGGTGTTAACTTCAGTAAACTTCTTGCTCTTTCTCTCTGACAAATTCTGTTTAGCTCACAAAGAAATCAATGCTTTTTCACATCACTGATTTTATGAAGTTTGGGAATGTATTATCATATAGATTGACAGTTGCCCCACTGGTTCCACACCACGGCATGGACACTTACAAAGCCATCATTAATTTCTCACACTTGTACCCAGTGATGGCTTCCTCCATAATAAACACTGTGTCCTTCAGAACCAAATCAATAACCTTTTAGGTATGCCTTTCTTGAAGAGGAAGTAACAGGAATCTATACTTTGAGAAAGAAGCTCTCCAATTTGATTTTAGGTTTTAAAGATACATGGTCAGAAAATGAATCTTTTCTGTGGGGTTCCATATGTTTTAATTTCATTTCTTGGTGGGATTTTGGGATAAATGGATTTTTCACCGTGTTTACTTAAAAATCTCCCTTAAAAAATTCCAGTTGTGATTTTGCTAAGCATAGTTAATGAGTGAAGACAGATCTCAGAAACCAACTTCCTTTTTGGTAATATGAAGTGTATATTCAGTCTGCAAAGTCATATAGTAAAATCTTTAATTTTGCCAACAGTTCTCCCTAGATCAATGTTGATTGTGCTTCCTACATGCTGCTGTGACAAAAATGACCCATTGGATAACTTGACAGTCCCATCAAACAGATGAACCTGTCTTTCTTTTCTTTCTTCTTCTTTTTTTTTTTTTTTTGGTAGTGTAGACACCATAGTGCTTCATCCTACACTCATTGATTTAGCCTCTGCATTAACATTGTGCTGGCTTGGATTGGGTTGCTTCAAATATATAAAACTCTCAGATTCATGTTATCTTTTCAGGTTCTTTAATCCTATCTTGAAGTCAATAATGATTTGGCTAGAAATGGCAATGAGAGTTGAGAACAGCCCGGCCAAGTTTTTGCTGCTGTGAAATTTGAAAGGGCTTTCCTAGTAACTTTAAATTAGAGTCCATACTTTTGTTCAATAATAAATGTCCCACTTAAAATATGTCCTCTCTAAGGCCATTTGTATTATATGAGTTATGGAGAAAAAGGGGTAGTCAGTAATACAGAAGAATAACTAATTGCCTCCTTAAAGATGCAAAGCAGCACAAACTAAAAAATCTTGTCTATGTTCTCTTGACTCCCTTAGGCGATTTCTTCACCTTGGGACTTAAAAATTTCCTTTTTTTTTTTTTTTTCCTTCCAGCAGAATTCTAGTTTCAGTTATTTTATTGGAAATCCAGAAAGGGAAAAAACAAAAAAACAAAAAACAAAGAAAATAAAGTTGGTATGAAATAGGAAGCTAGAAATGGCAGTAAGTGAAATCTGGTGTTGGTTAAACATTTAAGAAAATTATTCTTCCCCTCCCCTCTCCATGTCCACCCAAAGTAAATAAGTACAATGTTCATTTTCATCTGTTGTAATTGGGAAATTTACAATCCTCATAATGTACTTTGAGGTTGAGATATAAATGTTGGGTTAATTCCATTGCATTTCACAAAATGCATTTATAAAACAAGCTGGCTCTGGGCACGTAATGGATTTATGTAAAGCGTATTTGTGAAACACAGATTCTATTAGATTGAGTCCTTTTGGCAAAAGGTCTGTAGCGTATCTGTCTCCTCGGCAGAGTTCCAACACACCCAGGTACTCACTGCTTGTTAACTGAGACATGAGGAATGAAGCCTGAGGGAAGGAAGGATTTTCCTTAGCACCGGGGACAATGTCCTTAGATTGTTACTGCCAACCAAGTTGCATTCATTTGTCATTTAAGGTGAGTTACTTAAATTTTTCTCCTTTCTCTCCAGAAAGCGGCCTCTCAATAAATCTAGCATTGGAGCGTTTCTTAAGTAAACACAAACTAAACATGCGAGTGGAATTCTATTTCTACTCCCACTCTATTACTCTTACATGCTCAAATTAACTTTGTATTTTATAACCCACTCTACTCCTTTCTTCTCCCTAATCCCTCACGTAAAATCACAGAGAATGCCTGGAACAGACATAAAAACTTACTAAGAGCTCCAGACCTAGCCAAAGGCCCATAATTTTGCTGTTAAGGAAGTGAAAAGTCAGTGGTAAGAATAGTGAAAGAGGTAGCTACAAAAAGCATACATTCATATTTGACTGTGCTTGATGTTGATATGGGATGATTTCTTTTCCAGCCACATTTTATGAAGCCAATTTCCATGGAACCTAAAGAAAATTGTCTCAATTTCTTAAAAACAAAACAAAATTTAAAAACATACCAAAAAAAAAAAAAACCCAGAACAAAGTTTTAAGCCATTTGGATGACATTGATTTCAATTTGTGTTTTTAGGCTTTATTTTATATACCTGTACATTTAAAAGAATACCATTATAAAGAAGAGTATGAAATGAGTTATCATGGATTTAAAAAAACGAAGGACACAGACACAAAATATCATAGGTTCTGTGTTTTCCATTCCTAAATGAAAGAATGATCTCCTTTACATTTTTCTAATTCAATTCCCTCAAAGTCCAGGTATTGGAAGCTATAGAGAAAACTTATTTTTAAAAAGTTTATTCATGGGAGTCTTAATATATGATTACTATGATGCTAAAACACAGCTGATAATAACATACAACCAGAGGCAAAATGTAAGAATATCACATTGTCACATGGCATGATATGAAAGCTAGAAGTGAAAGGATTGATGTTCTGCAAATGGACTCGTATGAGACTTTAGAGGTTTACGTTTTTGGCAAATTAAGCAATTCTTACGTTACTGTAAAGGAGAACAGAGTACTTCAAGGAGCGTAGGAGCCTGTGCCTTATTTCAGTACTGCACTTTCCAGATTATAAACTTTAGTGGCATGGTCTTTAGTTATTTATATATTTCTTTCTTTCCTTTGGTAGTTTCTTTCATGTTTGTTAATGCTCCCAGGGGCTATCAAGGAATGGCTCCATTCAATAAATACAATAAATAAAATGAAGAACTAAGCCTTCCTTTTGGCAAGGGCAGCCTGATTATTACATGTGTAATCTCCAGGCCTTCAGGGACACATTGGGCTTGGTGGATAATCATTTGGTTTTAAGCTGCTGAGTTCCTGATATCAGTACTTTAACTTCAGTTGAGTTGCTCTTTTTACTGCGAAGGCAGTAAAATGGTAAGAAGCAAAATGTTTTTGTCTGTTCACGATTGGAAGCCTCTTCAGTCAGAAAACTCTTTTTTTGCTTATTGTTCAGTCATTTTTTTAAGTTTAGTTGTTGTTTGTCAATGATCAAATTAAGTTTATCTAATAGGTGGGAGAGATGTGCCATGCATTGAGAATTAAGGTCATAAATAAGATGAGTTAAAGCTAAGGAAGTTGATAGTATAAGTTTTCTACAGACAATTGAATCAGAAGAAGCCTGCTCAGAAAATAATATCAAAGTAAACGGGTTAGAGAAGAATGTATGAGGAGTAATGAGGCACTTCAATTAGCCATTCGGAAACTGAGACATAGCAGGTAGAAGAAAATTTCAGGTATTAATAATAGATTTGTAAATAGGATGGAAATTCCACATATGTGGCCATTATGTATATAGGCTTATACATGAAACTAAAAATGTTACTTGTGATTTAATTTTGAGTATTATTTAAGTGCTAGCTGTGAGAACCTTCTAGAAAATTATTCTTTCTTGCTTTCCATCAACTCAGTTTGAGTAATGTTAAAGGAGTTTAAGGTGTGGCTAAGTGGCTTATGGGATATTTAACAACAGAAGTTACCAACTGCATGTTAGTCTACAGGCTGAATCCAGTTTGAATTGTTTAATTTGCTTAGTGCAGTATCAAACATTTTTAGATTAACAACCAACATTTTAAAAGTAAGAGATTTTATATTAGAAATTTTTATTTTTGGCCGTTCTCAAAACATAAGAAGATTCAGTCACACTGGTTCAGGTTTTGGTTGGGACAGATCAGATTAGAAGCAGTAGCAGTTCTGGATAGATTCCATGTCTTTGAGGTCACCTGATCTTCCTCCAGGCTACACTGTTGTTTAAGGTCTGACTTAGCCTTTGTAGTCCCTTGAGTTATCAACCCTGACCTACATACAGTCTTTATGGAAATCAGATATAAAAATTGTAGAAAGCTAGAACTCAGCAATTTTATGGGTTCATGTATTCAGAGCTAGAATGTTACTTCTTTTGGTAAGTTTGCTCCATCTGCAAAGTGGGTTTAATTTTGCTCTACTAAATTTCTAAAATGGTTTTAAGGCATTTAGATTTAAATGCTTCAGATAAAATTAAATCAAATTACAATCAATTTAATTTGGAAAGTAATAAAATGATTGTATATGTGGGGGGTGAGTTTAAGTGGGTAATATGTCAACTCCATTTTCCGAAGTAGTAGATGCCCTGAAGTACTGAAAAATTAAGGTCAGAGTATTTGATTTAACACATAATTTTAAAGCTATTTTAATGTAAAAGTATTTAGGTGGACTATTTGGAAATAGATGGAGGGAAAACCTACTTTAAAAACTTTAGCTACTTCAGCTGATTGAAGAAAACCCCAGGGCTTTTCAGGAGGAAGCCATTTAAAGAGGAGGAAAATGACTTTGTGCTAATTATGTTCAGTTTTGATCCAGCAAATGGTTTATGGGGTCTGTAACAATGAAGTTGGAGACAATAAAGCGAAGGCTAGAAGAGAGACATGCAGTGATACACGAAGACCTCCAGTATGCCAAGAGAGAAAGACATGGAGCAATGTTAGCTAATGCTGAAATGGGAACCAGCGAGTCAGAAACAAACAGAACAGCGAGTGTTCCACAAACCAGGAATGTTCTTCAACCAGTGGATAAGCAGGATAGCCAAGGAACATTCAGGAGTGACTCTCACTCCCCATCCTCATTTCTTATTTGTGAAGAAGAAAAGATAACTGAAATATGAGCATGTTTCCTAAGGAAAGGGGACTGAAATATTTGAGTAGGCATTCTTTGAAAAAGAGTAGGTTAACAGATAACCTATGCAGAGTTATACCATTCTGAGGGGAATAAAAAAGATAAACACCATGGCAGTCTTTCCATCTGTGTTAATCATGAGAAAAGGGGCCTGAACTCACTTACAGTGAGAAAGTTAGGCACTGGAGGAGTTTTGGGAAGTATTTTTTGTAGTATTTTATGCAAGAAATAGACTATGACACATTCAATAATCAAAAAGGATCTTTGAAAGGAATTTTTAAAGAAGAAAATTGGTGTTTGAAAGGTACCACACTATGCTTAGATATGAACATTTTAATATGCACACAAATATATAAAACTATGTGTTGTTTTATTCAATATTGGTGAAAAATAGAAAAGTACTCTCAGATGAAGAGTTGTGTTAATTTGGGGTGGGGGGACTTATTTCTGAAAAGATTTCAAGTAATTGCTAATTGCTCTGCATTGGACGAAGCCATTGTGTGTATGTCTCTTTGTATTTGTGTGTCTGTGTTGTGTGTGCATGGTGGGGAAGGTGCTTTGTTGGGAAGAGGGATGTTATTGAGAGGGATAGAAATCAATAAATATAAATTGACCAAATTCCAGGGAAATGAAGGCCATATACGAAAATGCCAAAATGAGCAATGTAGACATTTTGTAGCATATAGTTTTGGGGGGAGAGAGAGAAGAGAAACCTGTGTTGACCTTCGTGGGTCTTGAACTCTATGGGTCATCTTACATCAAGGAGCATGCCCTTTAAAGCCTTGGATCCCTTAAACCAATGATGCTGTCTCACCCATGTAAGTCAGAATCCACAGAAAAACACCCATGTTTTCTCAAGTCCCACAGAAGAACTCTTGCCTCTGGGGAGCTCTGAACCAGTTCGAATCTGTCAGATAAATATTTGACTTGGTGGGGAATCCGCTTTCCTTGAAATATGTCCCTCTTCCTTTCCCAACTTTCGTCTTTCCCCCAACATCTTCCCTCCCCACCTGCATCCAGCAGGGCCTAATCACCTACTCCATGAGCTAATTTTTTTATTATTACATTCTGTCCTCTCGTTAAAACTAGTGAGATCATGTCTCTAAGATATGATTTGAGCATCATGATAAACTGGTGCAGGATAAAAAAAAAAAAAAAAAAAAAACTTCCGTATAAATGTACCTTCATTTTCCCTTGTTCTTTAAAATTTTAACTTTTGAATATGTTTTATGATGCAAGTAATTTATTGGTATATGTATATACACACATACACTTGCACACACATAGCATATATGAACAGGTTACATAAATACAGAAATGTATACATTGGAGATGTGTCCAAAAGGCTTATGCTGATTGTTTTAGACCTTTTATTTCCCAGGTCTAATTAAGCCTAAGCAACCACTCACTCCTCAAAATATTTGGATAATTCATTATTTTGTGGCAACCTGTTTGGTTGTCTTTGTATTGGTAATGACCGTATGTGCTAATGATACCTAACTATGTTATAGTAAAATTTGTATTTTTTTCTTCTAATTCTCTCTGCTGACTTTCACTTCCTAGATGAATAGACAAAAATATTGACTTTGTTGTTTCTTGAAGAAACCAAGCACTCCTATGCATTTACAGAGACATTCCTGTCTAACCTCAATAGGGAGAGAAGAAAATAAACATTATATATGTTAGCATACTGGTACAGTAAGGGAAGCTTTGAGAAGGTATGGTTTTAATTAGGTTGTAAATAGGGGTCGGGACTTTTATGTATGGAAATGAGATGATGGATATTCTAAATGAAGAAAAGCCAGAGTGTATGGTGGTTGGAGAATGGGAGGTGAGGTGAAGATGATGATGATTTTTCAGGGGACACTTTCTAGTCTAGAAAAAATTCCAACTCCAGTCAGGATAATGGGAATATAGTGATTTGATTGAGTAGCAGTAGAAATAGATGAATAGATGTGTAGCAATCAGATGACCAAGAGCTGTGAGCTTCATCTTAAGGAGTTAAAGTCTGATCAAGCAGATAATACAGAACTATTGAAAGTTTATGTGAGCAAAGACTGCAATATCTTAGGAAGCATCTGATTAAAACACACAGATACAGCGCGTGCACACGCGTGCGCGCACACACGCACACACACACACACGTTTGGATGGAAAGTAACAAAGTTAGAAGTGATATCAGAAAGAGAAGCAGTAGTCCAGGTAGAAGGACTCCAGAAACCCTTATACCACAAAGAGTCTACCTGCTTCTTAGCATTTCAGTAGCAGAAATTAACCTCTGACTACCATATGAATGCTGAATATTAGTAACTAAGATGATAAAATTCAAAAAGCATATAATTTTATGCTGAATAGCAGGAAAATGGGAGGAGGTACATAACCCCACACTCCCGCAGTACAGGGAGTGTTCCTTACAGTGCAATCTATTCTGCTTACATGTAGAATACAGTATTACAACAATTAGACTCCAGTGTTTATAATATTTAACCAAATGATTAAATAATAAAGTAGCATCAAATATTGCTTTGCACAAGGAAAGAAGTCATAATATTATTTTTAAGGGCACAGTAAGTGTGTTGTAGGTGAACGTTGGCTAGAACTATTCCAGGTTGATTAATAGTTTCTTGAATATTATTTCTGCTTCTATATCCTTGCCGCTTCTTCATGAGTCATATTCTCATGCAATTTGTTTAATTGCTCCTGTAACTATAGTTATGTCTCCCTTCTTATCTCTAATCTTTTATATTTTTATCTCTCATTTTTTTAATCAGACTTGAAAGAGATCTATTTTTTTTCAAGCTTTCTGCTTGTCTTTATTTACTTTAATTTTTCTTTCTCATTACATTCATCTTTATTGTATTTTTTAATTTCCTCATTTTAACTTTTGGAGTATATTGTGGGGTTTTTTTAGGTTTAATTTTTTTTTTTTTTTACTTCCATAGGTTATTGGAGAACAGGTGGTGTTTGGTTACATGAGTGAGTTCTTTAGTGGTGATTGTGAGATTTTGGAGCACCCATCACCTGAGCAGTACACACTGCATCCTATTTGTAGCATTTTATCCCTCAGCCCCTTCCCACCCTTTCCCCCTGAGTCCCCAAAGTCCATTGTGTCTTTCTTATGCTTTTGCATCCTCATACCTTAGCTCCCACTTATAAGTGAGAACATATGATGTTTGGTTTTCCATCCCTGAGTTACTTCACTTAGAATAATGCTGTGAAAGCTATTAATTCATTCCTTTTTGTGGCTGAGTAGTATTCCATTATATATATATGTGTGTGTGTGTGTGTGTGTGTGTGTGTGTGTGTGTGTGTGTGTTACAGTTTCTTTATCCACTCATTGATTGATGGGCATTTGGGTTGGTTCCACGTTTTTGCAATTGTGAATTGTGCTGCTATAAACACGCGTGTGCAAGTATCTTTTTCATATAATGACTTATTTTCCTCTGAGTAGATACACAGTAGTGAAATTGCTGGATCAAATTGTAGTTCTACTTTTAGTTCTTTAAGGAATCTCCACACTGTTTTCCTTGCTGGCCGTACTAGTTTACATTCCCATCAGCAGTGTAGAAGTGTTCCCTGTTCACCGCATCTATTATTTTTGGATTTTTTGATTATAGCCATTCTTGCGGCAGTAAAGTGGTATCACATTGTGGTTTTGATTTGCATTTCCCTGATCATTAGTGATGTTGAGCATTTTTTCATATGTTTGTTGGCCATTTGTATATCTTCTTTTGAAAATAATCTATTCTTGTCCTTAGCTTACTTTTTGATGGGATTATTATTTTTTTCTTGCTGATTTGTTTGAGTTTATTGTAGATTCTGGTTGTTAGTCCTTTGTCAGATGTATAGATTGTGAAGATTTTCTCCCACTCTGTGGGTTGTCTGTTTACTCTGCTGACTTTTCCTTTTGCCATCCAGAAGCTCTTTAGTTTAATTAAGTCTCAGTTACCTATCTTTGTTTTTATTGCATTTGCTTTTGGGTTCCTGGTCATAAAATCCTTGCTTCAGCCAATGACTAGGATTTTTCCAATGTCATCTTCTAGAATTTTTATAGTTTCAGATCTTAGATTTAAGTCCTTAATCCATCTTGAGATGATTTTGTATAAGATGAGAGATGAGGATCCAGTTTCATTCTCCTACCTGTGGCTAGCCAAATATCGCAGCACCATTTGTTGAAAAGGGTGTCCTTTCCCCACTTTATGTTTTTGTTTGCATTGTTGAAGATCAGTTCCTGCAAGTATTTGGGCTTATTTCTGGCTTCCCTATTCTGTCCCATTTTTATATACCTATTTTTATACCAGTACTGTGTTGTTTTAGTGACTATGGCCTTATAGTATAGTTTGAAATCAGGTAATGTGATGCCTCCAGATTTGTTCTTTTTGTTTGGTCTTGCTTTGGCTATGCTGACTTTTTTTTGGTTCCATATGAATTTTAGAATTTGTTTCTAATTCAGTGAAGAATCATGGTGATATTTTGATGGGAATTGCATTGAATTTGTAGATTGCTTTCAGCAGTATGGTCGTTTTGTAATATTGATTATACCCATCCATGAGCATGGGATGTGTTTCCATTTGTTTGTGTCGCCTATGATTTCTTTAGGCAGTGTTTTGTAGTTTTCCTTGTAGAGGTCTTTCACCTCCTTGGTTAGGTATAATCCTAAGTGTTTTGTTGTTGTTGTTGTTGTTTTTGTGGTTATTGTAAAAGGGGTTGAATTCTTGATTTGATTCTCAGCTTGGTCACTGTCGGTGTATAGAAGAGCTACTGATTTGTGTACACTAACTTTGTATCCGGAAAGTTTGTTGAATTCTTGGATCAGTTCTAGGAGCTTTCTGGAGGAGTCTTTAGGGTTTTCTAGGTAAACAATCATATCATCAGCAAACAGTGATGGTTTGACTTCCTTTTTACTGATTTGGATACCCTTTATTTCTTTCTCTTGTCTGATTGCTCTGGCTAGGACTTCAGTACTATGTTGAAGAGGAGTGGTGAGAGTGGCAATACTTGTTTTGTTTCAGTTCTCAGAGGGAATGCTTTCAACTTTTCCCCATTCAGTATTATGTTGGCTGGGGGTTTGTCATAGGTGGCTTTTATTATTTTGAGGTATGTCCCTTGTATGCTGATTTTGCTGAGAGTTTTAATCATAAAGCGATGCTGGGTTTTTTCGAATGTTTTTTCTGCATCTGTTGAGATGATCATGTGATTTTTGCTTATAATTCTGTTTATGCTGTGAATCACATTTATTGACTTGCATCTGTTAAACCATCTCTGAATCCCTGGTATGAAACCCACTGGATCATGGTGGATTATCTTTTTTATATGGTGTTGGATTCAGTTAGCTAGTATTTTGTTAAGGACTTTAATATTTATGTTCATCAGGGATGTCGGACTCTAGTTTTCTTTTTTGGTTATGTCCTTTCCTGGTTTTGATATTAAGGTGATACTGGCTTCATAGAATAATATAGGGAGGTTTCCCTCTTTCTGTATCTTGTGGAATAGTGTCAATAGGATTGGTGCCAATTCTTTGAATATCTGGTAGAATTCTGCTGTGAATCTGTCTGGTCCTGGACTTTTCTTTTTCGGTAACTTTTAAATACCATTTTAATCTCACTTCTTGTTATTGGTCTGTTCAGGGTATCTAATTCTTCCTGATTTAAGCTAGGAAGGTTGTACCATTCCAGGAATTTATCCGTCTCTTCTAGTTTTTCTAGTTTATGCATAGCGTTCATAGTAGCATTGACTGATCTTTTGTATTTCTGTGGTGTCAGTTGTAATACCTCCCGTTTCATTTCTTATTGAACTTATTTGGATTTTCTCTCTTTCTTTAGTTAATCTTGCTAATGGTCTATCAATTTTATTCATCTCTGCAAAGAACCAGCTTTTGTTTCATTTATCTTTTGTATTTTTTTGTTGCAATTTCATTTAATTCTTCTGTGATCTTGGGTTTTTTCTTTCTTCTGCTAGATTTGGGTTTGGTTTTTTTTTGTTTCTCTAGTTCCTTGAGGTGTGATCTTAGATTGTCTGTTTGTGTTCTTTCACACTTTTTGATGTAGGCATTTAGGGCTATGAACTGTCCTCTTAGAACCACCTTTGCTGTGTCCCAGAGGTTTTGATAGGTTGTGTCAGGTCATTCAGTTCGAATAATTTTTTACTTTCCATCGCGATTTCATTTTTGACCCAATGATCATTCAGGAACAGGTTATGTAATTTCCATGTACTTCCATGGTTTTGAGATTCCTTTTGGAGTTGATTTCTAGTTATATTCCACTGTGGTCTGAAAGAGTGTTTGATATAATTGTGTTGTGCTTTTTCTAACTTTTTAAAGATGAGTACTAAGTTTTATTACTCTCATTCTCCCTTATGTTATCAGAGTAAGTATATTTATCAGGTCCTATAGAATTTGATAAAAAATATTGTTCTCTGTGTTACTTTCTAAAGATCCTCAGCCCATTTGGACTCTCAAAATAAAACAGAATCCTAATGCTACCAGTTTTTCACTTTAATACTAACAATTTCTGAAAAAGTCCAATTTTTATTGTTAAATCTTTATGCTGCCCAAAGTAAGATATCTATATGTTTTATATGCATTATTTATAGATATACGTTTGTATTAACTATATAACATAGAATTATGCAAAGCATATGTGCGTATATATATAGTGCATTTAAAATATATATATATATATATATATCCATGCATATAGGCATGAAAAAGAATAAAAATCACCTATAATTTGACACCAACAATAACTATGGTTAATATTTTGATGCATATATCCTTCAGTCTGTGTGTCTATCTGAGAGAAAGTGAGAGGGAAATTAATAATTTTACAGAGTTGGCATGTTTTACATGCCCTATATAGCATTATTTTTTTTGGAAATAAACTAAAATCATTTCCCCATGACATTAAATATTTTCTCCAATATTTAAGAGGGACATAGTACTCCTTTAATGTAATCCATTTCCTCAATTTCCTTTCATTGTACATTTAACTAATTTTTATTTTAGTTGCAGTAAAGAGCAATGTGATGGATAAAATCCTTATAGCTACATTCCTGTGGACATCCCTGACTGTTTTCTTAAGATGAATTCCTAGAAGACTTAGAACATACACAGTTATGTGAAATTGCAATCCTTTTCAACCAGTGTCCTCAGAGGAACTCTTGCACCAGCACTGTGGGAAAATCAACAGGCACACGGAATCCTTGAGCTCAGGAGTCACTGGGAATGATCATTAATATTTTACCAAATTACGGATCGAAATATTTTTATTCTGGCTTCCCTTCACTTTAATCTGAGCAACTCTTCATGTATTCATTGTCTACGTGTATTTTTTATTTCATGATTTGTATTTCTTCTCCATATGGAAAGATAGTGGGACGATGCATCTCACTTTTTAGTTTGTATTAGCTTTTTACAATGTCTACAGTGATCCCAGATCAATGTCTACAGTGATCCCAGGTCCTATTGTACCTTATTGTTTATACAAATGCTTAAAAAGTGTTCACTTATTGGTGTGAAGATCACTTGGCTGCATTTTCAAAAGCATGCGACTTATTTTCTGTGGGATAGAACACCAAATGTATTTACGGAGTTGATTTGGTTTATCAGAAATCAGTGCTAACTAGAAAGCAATTTAAAATTGTTGCACTGACCAAAGAAGAAATGCTAGCTCTGAGTAGAGTGGGGAATTTCTTTTTCCATATTAAGTATGTCAGCTATTGTTTGGAATGCAGGACTTTATATCAGATTGTTAATTTATAACAAACCAAGGATAGAATTGCATTCCACATGATGAAAGGAAATTCACATCTACTAAGACAGTCTGCAAGGCACCTTGAGGAGACAGAATCGAGTAAATTATGTATTAAATATTCTTAAAACTTCCTCCATCTGCGGTGCCTTTGATTCAATGAGGTTAGTAATCATAAACACAGTGGTGGCCCTGCTATTGGTATTTTCACAAAATAGGTAGTTCTGCAGGCAAGATAAATATCTCAGTACATAAGAAAAGACTCTGAAAATAAGCATGTGGAAGCAATTACTATTATAATAAGCATATGGCTCTGCTAATATACAGTGTTGCTTAATAATTGATATAGAAAAAAAACAGTAGAAACATTTCTATATTCTGGGGCATTCCCTTGTACATTTAGAATGGAAAAGACCCCAGTGAAATGCAGAACAATTAAGAGAGTACAGGTTGTCTTCCATTTCCACTGATACACATTTATGGCTATGAACAACAAGGCACGTCGAGAAAGCAGGAAGTATACAAATCAACTTAATCTGTCCCACTGTGGTATTTCAGGCCCTCCACAATATAGTCCAATTTTATGGTTTTAGCCCTTGCTCCCACTTCTCTTCTAAATATATTTTCAGCTCCAGCTCAACTGAGCTACTTATTTTTTTTCCAGAGCATACTCTCTTCCTCTGTGTCGTTGTTCACCCTGTTCTTTTTGGCTGCAGTGGTATCCCCAAACCCACCTACCCATCACATACCTATCCATTATCAAAGAATTATCTAAGGTGCCATGTCCTCTATGAAATCATTCTGTTTTCCTTAACTACAGGTGTACTCCCACTCCTTTGAAATTTTTTTTAACATTTTATTTATCCATTTCATCAAGAATTTAGGGGAAATGGTGTAGCCTTCACCAAAGTAGAGAAGTAAATGATTTGAGATGAATTTTGGAGCTAGAGTATACAGAACTTGATGATAGTTTGAATGTAGTAGTTGAGAAAAGAAAAGCAAGAGCTCTTGGGTGGGCATAGTGGCTCACGTGTGTAATCCCAGCATTTTGGGAGGCTGAGGCGAGCAGATCACTTGAGGTCAAGAGTTTAAGACCAGCCTGGCCAACATGGTGAAACACCGTCTCTACTAAAAATACAAAATTAGCTGAGTGTGGTGGCTTGTGCCTGTAATCACAGCTACTCGAGTGGCTGAGGCAGGAGAACTGCTTGAACCCAGGAGGCAGAGTTTGCAGTGAGCCAAGATTGTGCCACTGCACTCCAGACTGGGAAACAGAGCAAGACTTCATCAAAAAAAAAAAAAAAAAAAAAAAAAGCACTCTCAAGGATTTCTAACTTTAGCCACTGGATGGATTCCTAAGTATTAAGATGAGAAATACTTGAAGAAGATAGGATTTGGGGCTTATTCATTTTAGACATTGTTAAGTAAGACAACTAAGTAGAAAGGCAATGTGGATAATTGTGTAATTATTAAGACTGGAACCTAGGAAAAAGATCTGGACTGGAGATGTCAATTTGAGAATCAGCAGCATAGGAGTGGCCCATATATATCCAGGAAAGTAGATGAGCTTACCCAAGGGGAAAGGTAGAGAGAGAAGAGGAGGGAGCCAGGAGCAAACTCTGAGTAGTCCTTAAGTGTTGGGTGGAGAGACTGAAATCAGTGGTTTGCAGAAGGTAGTTCTTTGTTCATTCTTGTTGGTGTGATTTTTCTTTAGGGTTCCCTGATGGCTTCCGGTGTTGGTGTGGCTTTTATCATCTCTCAACCCACAGTCTTTTTTCCTTTCCATTATTCTGTTTCAAAGGAGGCAAGACTGGCTGAGCCTCATCAGTACAGGAGAAAGAGAAAAGGAATTTAAAAAGGGATAGGGTCACAGGAACAAAAATAAATAAGATAAGAGTTCTCATATAATTGTAAACTAGTTTGATGGTTGATTTTATGTGTCAGTTTGACTGGACCGTAGGATGTCCACGTAGCTGGTTAAATGTTCTCTGGGTGTGCCTGAGAGGTTGTTGCTAGAAGAGATTAGCTTTTGAATTAGTGGACTGAGGAAAGTCAATGGTCTCCCCCAGTGCAGGTCTGCATGATGCCATCCACTGATGGCCTGAATAGAACAAAAGATAGAGGAAGGTTGAGTTTACTCTGGCTGATTGTTTAAAGTGGGACAGCGGTTTTCTCCTGCCGTCAGCATTTCTGTCTCTCAGGCTTTCAGACCAAATCTATACCATAACCTCTCCAACTCTCAGGCCTTGAAACTACACTACGGGTTTTCCCCAGCTTGCAGGCAGCAGATGGGATTTCTCAGTCTCCAAAATCATGTGAGGCCATATTTTATAATATCTCTTCATTAGATATATATTCTATTATTTTTGTTTCTCTGGAGAAGCCTGACTAATATGTTGTCTGTAATTTCAAAATGTATCGAGTAATTCATGGCAATAACATTTAACTACAAACTTTTATTGTACTCAGAATATTTATTTAGTTAGTTATTGGGCATCTATTGTCTATTATGCTTAGAGTATATTCATTAACAAACTAGAAACACATTTTCCTCTCCATGCGGGTGGATCAGGAGGTCAGGAGTTCAAGACCAACCTGGCCAACATGGTGAAACCCCATCTCTACTAAAAATACAAAAATTAGCCAGGTGTGGTGGAGGGCACCTGTAATCCCAGCTACTCGGGAGGCTGAGGCAGGCTAATTGCTTCAACCAAGGAGGCAGAGGTTGCAGTGAGCCAAGATCATGCTACTGCACTCCAGCATGGGCGACAGAGCAAGACTCCATCTCGGGGGAAAAAAAAGGAAAAAAAAAGTTAATTTTTATTAGGCAATAAAAAATGAACTTGAAATAAAGAAAAAAGAGAGAAAATAGAAGAGAGGGAGAGATAAATAGAAGGGAGGGATGAAGGAAATAAAGAAAAAACTATGCTATGTAGTGATAAATGGTATGGGAAAAAGAAGACAGTAGAAATAGATAGGAGTTTGTGATTGTGAGAGTTTTGCAGTAGTAAACGGGAGTCGGAGGGCCAAGGAAAACTTTATTAAAATGCTGACATTTGAATGAAAACCTCAAGGAACAGAGAAACTAGCTGTGAAAGGGAATTGACTATACAGATTTCAGGGGTGTGGCATTTCAGTCAGGTGGAAGAGCTAGTATAAAGATTTTAATGCAGGCACACTCCTGCTGTATTTAAGGAAGTTAATGTGATTGCAGCAGAATGCAAATTGGGCAGAATAGCAGGAAACCAGAACAGAGAAATGAAGGTGAAGTCAGGTCATAGAGGGTGTCACAGATTATTTAAAATGGTGGCCTTTGCTCTGAGGGAAATAAGCATCCAGACAGAGTTTTGAGCATAAGAATGTCATGATCTGACTTCCCATGTAAAAGGATAGCTCTGGCTATTGTGTTGAGAATATAGTGGAAGAAGACAAGAGTAGGGAGAACAGGAGGCTATTGCAGTAACCAAGACAAGAGATGACAGTGTCTGTCTGGGACAATAGCGGTAGGAAGAAGTGATCTGATTCTCAATGTATTTTGAAGGTAAAGGTAGGAGTATTTCTGGATGTATTGGCTGAGAAGTGTCTGCAAACAATTCCTTGAAGATTACTCTCAATCCTGTGCACATTTTAAAATAAGGCTATATGGTTTTCTGATATTGAGTTGTAGGAGCTCCTTATATATTTTGGATATTAACTCCTTAACTCATATATGGTATGCAAATATTTTCTCTCATTCCGTAGATTGCATTTTCATTTTGTTGCTAGTATTCTTTGCTGTGCAGAAGCTTTTGAGTTTGAGGTAGTCCCACCTATTTTTGCTTTTATTGCTTGTGCCCGTGATGTCATGTTCAAGAAATCTTTGCCAAGACCAAAGTCATGAAGTTCTTTCCCAATTTTTTTTAGGAGATTCACAGTTTCAGGTCTTACATTTTAAGTCTGTAATCATTTCACATTTATTTTTGTGTATGGTGTAAAAGATAAGGATCCAAATTAATCTTTTTCACATGTGACTGATTCTTCTGACATCATTTTTTGAGGAGACTATCCTTTCTTCTTTTTGTATTCTTGGATCCTTGTTGAAGATCAGTTGACTATATAAATGTGGCTTTATTTCTGGGCATTTTATTTTATTCTATTGGTCTATGTGTCTGTTTTTATGCCAGTATCATACTGTTTTGAACACTATTTTGTGTGTCAGTTTGACACATAGACTTATAAATAAATATAAATAAATGTATGTATGTATTTATTTAGTTAGTTAGTTAGTTTTGTTCTTTGGAGACAGAGTCTCACTCTGTCACCCAGGCTGGAGCGCAGTGGTGTGATCTCGGCTTAGGAGGCAACCTCTACCTCCTGGGGTCAAGTGATTCTCCTGCCTCAATCTCCCGAATAGCTGGAACTTCAGACTCACGCCATCATGCCCAGCTAATTTTTTTTTCTATTTTTACAGACAGGGTTTCACCATGTTGCCCAGGCTGGTCTCAAACTCCTGAACTTAAGTGAGCCACCAGCTTCAGCCTCCCAAAATCCTGGGATTACAAGTGTGAGCCATCAGGCCAGGCTGTAATGTATTTTAAAATCAGGACATGTGATGCCTCCAGCTTTGTTCTTCTTTCTCAAGATTGCTTTGGCTTTGAACCAAGATTATGGTTCTACGTGGATTTTAGGATTATTTGTTCTATTTCTTTAAAAAATGTCATTGGAATTTTGGTAGGGATTGGATGCATTGGAGGTGTAGATTGCTTTTGGTAGTATGGACATTTTAACAACATTAAGTCTTCCAATCCATGGACATGGGATGCCTTCTCATTTATTTGTGTCTCTTTTAATTTCTTTTATAAAAGTTTTATAGTTTTCACTGTACAAGTCGTTCACTGCCTTGAGTGAGTTTATTCCTAAATATATTTTTGCTGCTATTATAGTGGGATTTTTTCTTAGTTTCCTTTTCAAATAGTTCAGTGTTAGTGTATAGAAATATTACTAATTTTTGTATGTTGATTTTGTATCCTGCAACTTTACTGAATGGTTTATCAGTTCTAACAGGTTGTGGGGTTGGGATATTTTTCTTTTGTCTTTAGGGTTTTCTGCATATAAGATTGTGTCATCTGGAAACGGCGATAGCATTACTTCTTCCTTTCTAACTTGGATGCCTTTTATTCCCTTTTCTTGTCTACTTGCTTTGCTAAGACTCTCGGCATTATGTTGAATAGAAATGGTAAGAGCATGTATCCTTGTCGTGTCCTTGATCTTAGAAGGAAAGTTTTTGGTTTTTACAAAGAAGACATTCAAATGGCCAAAAATATAGCAAGTCTTCACTTAATCTCATCAATAAGTTCTTGGAAATTGTAACTTTAAGGAAAACAAAGTGCAGTGACTCTTGAATGATGCCATTTTGTTTGACATCCCTAGGGTATAAAGTTGATGAGAAAAAAAATGATGTGGTTATACATCCTTTCACTTAAACTCAGTTTCCAGGAACCTATAGATAATTTTAAGTGAGGACTTGCTATATATGAAAAGACACTCAACATCACTAATAGCCAGAGAAATAGAAATCAAAACTACAATGAGATACCATCTCATACCCCTGTTAGGATGGCCATTATCAAAGCAGTAACAAAAGAGATAAGTGTTGTCAAGGATGTGGAGAAATCGTAGCTTTTATATACTGTTGGTGGGAATATATAAAATGATACAACCACTATAGAAAAAAATATGGAGTTTCCTCAAATTAAAAATAGAATTACCCTATGATCTAGCATTTTCACTTCTTGGTATTTATTCAAAAGAATTAAAATCAGAATCTCAAAGGGATAGATGCACCCCCAAAGTCATTGTAGCATTATTCACAGTAACCAAGATGTGGGGAGAACTTAAATGTCCATCAGTGTATGAGTGGATAAAGAAAATGTGGTGTATACATACAATAGAATATTATTCAGCCATAAAAATAAGAAAATCCTGCCATATGATACAACATGGATGAACCTTGGGAACATTATGTGAAGGGAAATAAGCCAATCTCAGAAGAACATATACAGCATGCATTCAATTATATGAAGTATCTAAGATAATCAAACTCATAAAAGCACAGAGTAGAATGAAATTTGCCAGGGGTTGAAAGAAGGAGAAAATGGGAAGTTGTTGATTAAATAGGGGTGTCAGTGAATGACAGCAAGAATAAGAGGTAATGTGGTGATAAAATCTGATGGCAAGAGATGCAAAGCTGAGGATGTCTACAGAGCAGTGAAGCATCATGCTGTATCAAGGACAAGAAGCAGTGTGTATCTCTTTTATATATTCAGTGCCAGTGGCATGAGGGCACAGGGAGGAAAAACTGCCACCACCTGTAACTACTCCAGGGAAAGTAGTGTCCTTAGGAAGAACAAGATTTCTACTGGAGCGAGACCATGAAATGAGCATTTGGAGAAATGGTTAAGACTTTTTTCAGTGATTGACATACAGAGGGACAGTAGACATGACAAGGGCGAAGGCAGACAGTGAAGGTAAGGCTTTGAATGTCAAGGGCTAGGGAGAGATGCATCTTGGGCACCTTTCTTAACTCCTGATGATGGATGGGGTTAGAAGAACCAGCAAAAGTGTGGTTCAGTCCTGGTGGAGAGTTTCATTGTTGATCCTGGAGAAATATCCCCAATCTATTTCTCAATGAAGGCAGTGATAAACTTTTGATGCTGGAGAAGTAATGGAATCTTCCTTTAATAAAAAGAGTCAAGATGTCCTTGGTGAGTGCAGAGAGAAAGAAGAAACATTTTCTAACACACTGTAAGAAATCTTGAATATAGGGACAACATCTTATTTATGTGTGTTTCCAAAGGCTACCACGTTGCTTGTCAGAATGAGTCACAAAACCATGGAAGGGAGGGAGGGAGAATAGGAGAGAATGCAGGAAAATGAAGAAAGGAAAGAGAAAGGAAAATAGAAAGGCAAACTCAAAAAAAATGAAAGATAAGAAAATATTATCTTGTTAAAACCATACTCATCAGGAGACTTAAGTCCTTATTCATTTAATTCAACAAAGTTTTTCTCAAAATAATCACAAAAACATTCTGAAAATTAACTAATGAAAGAAAATGATAGTGAAATCATTTATAAAACAATGTATATGGACCCGTGATTGATAGGTTTTGTTGCAAACCGAGCATTGAGTATGCGTGTGTCCATGATTCAATATAAAACTGACCCTTCTCATTTTGAAGAGATAACAATTTTCTTATTTTGAAGAGATTAATAATGTGGTGAATTAACAAACCATCATGGAAGAGATTGAGAGAACCATGGGAAGGTGATTATATCATACCTTGTAAAGAAATATGTATCTTATTCATAGGGTACAAGATACTGTTTCTATTCCTGCTGAAAGAGTAGGTTAAGAAATGGTATCTGCAATTTGAAGATACCAGAATAGCAACTTGATCTCATATATCTTTGTTTGCTTCTCTGAAATTCGCATCAAGAAAAAGTCTCTAAAACATGTCTCAGAATCATTTTCTCTAGAATCCACTAAGTGGGCTTTACAGCTTTAAAAATATCAAAGATTTATATTACTATCTCTCCTAGGAAAACTGTGCCTATGACCATAGTCTTGTTTCAACTTCCAATGTATTTTTATGAAGAAAATATGAGAACTATATATACTCCATGCACTGTGATGATGTAACATACTAATGGGAGAGGTCCAAGGGCTTAGTAGAAAAAGTCTAGAGATGTAATTTCTTGTCCTAGCTCTGCGACTAACTAGCTATATGGCCATTACTATTCCAAGGGCAACAGACCTAAATCTCTCTGGGTGTCAATATCATAATTTTTGATATGAAGACAATCGAGGCTATAGTGCAGAAATTTTGGAGTCAGATAGACAAGTGTTTAAACCTTAATTCTGTCCTTTATCAGCTCCATGACATTGGCAAATTACCAATAAGATCTCAAAACACTAGTTTCTTCTGCAAAATGTGGATAATAATTGTCCCCTTCCCTTATTCTTTCCTTCTTTCTTTCCTTCTTTCTTTCTTTCCTTTCTTTCTTCCTTTCTTTCTTTCTTTCTTTCTTTCTTTCTTTCTTTCTCTCTCTCTCTTTCTTACTATTTTTTTTTTTTTTGAGACAGGGTCTTGCTCTGTTGTGCAGGCTGGAATGGAGTTGGCACCATCTTGGCTCACTGCAACCTCTGCTTCTCAGATTCAAGTGATTCTCCTGCCTCAGCCTCCCGAGCAGCTGAGATGCTGAGATTACAGGCATGCACCACCATGCCCAGCTAATTTTGGTATTTTTAGTAGAGATAGGGTTTCACCCTGTTGGCCAGGCTGGTCTCGAACTCCTGACCTCAAGTTATCCACCTGCCTCGGCCTCCCAAAGTGCTGGGATTACAGGCGTGAGGTGCTAGGATTACACCAGCACCCAGCCCCCTTTCCCTTATTCCTGTTATGATTATTAAATGAGATGGGCTAGTATATTAAGCTCTTAGCGAAGTGCCTGGCACGTAGTAAACAATTCATGCATAGTACCGATTATTTTTGGTGTTACTGTTTTTAAAATAATTTTTGCCATATTTAGTCAATGTAGACTGCTTTGAAAGCTTATAGATTTATCACATGCAAATGATTAAATGTGATTTCTGTGTCTCCTTCATAACCCTTGGCTGTCAGGTCCTTGGGCAGATATGTAAATCCCTGCTCTTGAATCGATCCGACATTAAAGGCGATGGGGATTAGATAATTTTCACTTAAAGTGACTGTCCTCTTTTTCTGGGAACCTGTCACAAGCGGGAGTTCTGCCTCGTATATCAAAAAGGAATTCTAGAAGGTGATTTCATTTTTGCTTTCATTTTGTTCTTCAAGGAAAGGGAGTTAAATATTAATTAAGAAGTCTAATCCAGTAAATATAGAGATGCAACCATCCCAGACTCACAGAGTTGATGATAAAAGGAGCTGTGAAAGGGATCAAAGCCAATAATAAGCCAGGATGAGCAGAGCGAGGAGCGAGCGAGAGATGTGGGATCAAAATATGCAAGAAGCCCAACTGCAGGCTGTAGTGCAGAGCGCCTTTAACTACAGCAGAACGCTGCAGCATCACTCATTCTGAACACAAGTTATCAAACATTTATTGAATATCTACTACATGCTGAGAACTAGAAATACAAAGATAAATTTCACAAAATCCCTGCCCCCAAGTAATTCACATCCTCAGAAGAAAGTCCTAAATGGTGACAGGAGGTGGCATAGCACAATAATTAAGCACATTTCTTTGGAATGAGACTGTCTGGGTGTAAAGCTCAGTTTTGTCACTTCCTAGCTTTTGGGATGTGGAAACGACTTCATCTCTCTGAGTAGAGTTTTCTGCACTGGTATGATGGAAGAACCAAGTCATGACTTTATTGTGAAGAGTAAATTAGTAAAATATTTGAAATGGGCTCAATGTAGTATCTACTACCTGGTATAGGCAACATTTTACATAGTATGCCATGATTAAAGGTTGCACAAAGAAGTTAATATTTGGGCCTGGCTTTGAGCTAGAAGAACATTGTTCTTGTAAAGAAACAGAATAGATCACATCTTAAGCTGAGAATACAAAGATACTGTAAATTCAGAGCTCTTACATGGTATGATCGGGAAATAAAGAAATAGTGGAGTGAGAGAGAAATTGAAAGTGAGAAAGGAAAATACTAGAAAGTTAATCCTGAGCCAGCTCTTGGAAAATGTAGAATTGCATAGCAAAGTATTTTGACTTTACCATGGAAGCAAATGTGGGTCACCGAAGGTTATTAACAAAGGAGTGGATTGATTAAATTTGCATTTAGAAAAATTATTCTAAATGTGGAATCTACACTGAGAGAAGCAGGACTTGAACCAGAAGGAGGAATTAGAATGCCAAGAGTTGATAATGGTCCCATTTGGGCAATGAGAGTGATGGGAAGGAGTGAGGTGGAGGAGGGAAGTTTCAGAGGCAACTTGACAGGGATTAGCAACTGGTCCAAGTGGGTAGAGACAGGTTCATAGAGAGAGGGAGGATTCTAGAGTGGGTTTTAAGGACTACAAGTAGGATGACTAGGTTAGAGTATAGTCAATAAATGAGATGGAGGGTAGGAGGAGAACATCTGACTGGGAAACAGGAAGTTTGGTTTTGAAAAATATGAAGTATATATTTTCTTGGGCTTCTGATGAGGATGTGGAAATAGGCACTTGGAAATGTTTTTATGGAAATAATCAGAACGTGAATCTGGAAATTAAGATAAGAAAACCATCACCCATAGATTATAAATGGGGCTACATCAGGGGATGAGATGACTGGCAGAGGGAATATAAAGGTACCAGGGCCAAGGACACGACCCTAGAAATGCTCCCTTTTAGGGGACAATCCAAGGAAGGTGAGTCAGTGGAAGAGATGGAGAAAGGATACTCAGAGAATAGAAGGGTGAATCTATCCTCTTCTTGGCAGAAGGGACTATTAAGTAGAGCAAGGTCAACCATGCCATAAGCCACAAAATATTTAATTAGGATGAAGAATGAGAAAATGCCTTTGGATTTGACACTGGTAACATCTGATGGAATATTCTAAAGTGAGGTCCTTGTAGGTGCTTGATTAAAATGCCTAACAAAGGCTGGGCGTGGTGGCTCATGCCTGCAATCCTAGCGTTTTGGGAGGCTGAGGCAGAAGGATTGCTTGAGCCCAGGAGGTTGAGGCTGCAGTAAACTGTGATTTTGCCACTGCACTCCAGCTCGGGGTGACAGAGTGACACTCTGTCTCTTAAAAAATAAAGAAATTTTTACAAAACCTAACAAAGAGGAGGGTATAAAAAATAAAAGCTGAGCGAACACTACGTCCTGTACATATGTAGAGATCTTGCATTTTCTGTACTAATGCCTCATATACAGTAGACAATCGAACGGTGTCTGTCCCATGCTGTACATATGTTGAAGTTTTCAACTTCACTCCTTTGCCTAAGGAGTGATGCTAACTGACAATTTTCATCATATTCTGTCCAGGAGGACCTTGATCCAGGGCAAGGATGCTTATGGACAGGAGCTGATGCTTGGAATTCCTCAAATTATAATTCTAAAAATTGTGTTTGTTGAGAATCATGAGCAGCCAGTAAGATTCTCATAATTTATATAGCATTTGAGGATTATTATTGAACAAGAAGTCTTTAAATTTTTAAAAGGACAAAGTGTAAAATGTTCTGAATAAAAGGCTAACACACTTAGCTTAAAAATGTAGTGCCTCTGCAAGCTTAAACCGTGAATTTTAATCAAAGCCACTGCCCTCTTTGAGGGAGTTACTCAGAAGTTGCATCAGATTGTTGATGATAAATAGGCTTCAGCGATTCATTTAAATAATATTTTTAAATCTAAGAAAACCCCTATTTTCCAGCTTTAGGTATGGAAATAAATTATCCTATTAGAACACTGACATTCTAAATTTTGAGAAATAGCATAAAACTCACGGACGAAATCAGTTTGTATTATTGTTGGATAGTTAGGGTTGTTTTCAGTTGTAACTTTCTCTTGTCTTTGTCATTTCCCTAAGTGACAGAGGAGAAAGGAAGGTGGATAAAAACAGAACTTATAGAGGATATATTCTCCTTCCCACCCCATGTCACCTCCCCAACCAACAAATGCATATTTAATGGCCCTTCCCTCCTTTACTTTGATTATTTAATCATCATATAGTGCTACAGCTTTTTTAACAGTCCCTTTAAAATAAGAGAATATTGTCAGTACCATTTTTTAAAATAAGAGAAGCAGTTGGTTTTGAATTGAGACAGACCTGAATTTGAATCCCATCTCTTCTAAGTAAAAGCTGGGTGGTCAGCTGATTTTTTAATCTTTCTGAGATTCTCCTTGGTCACCAGTTAAATGACAAAAGAGAATATAAATATCCATTTTAAAAGGTTGTTGTGGGATTATATAAGCTAATGTATTATATGAGCACTGCATCTTCCTTGGGTTCTATTCTCAACCAGGAGGTAAAATCATAATCATAGGTAGAAACATTTACCCCTGACAAATCCCTTAAACTGGCTCTAAATTTGAGAATGCATGGGTTCATGCATGCAGTCCTATTCAGTGAGAAGTATGTATGAAGGTTTAATGCTTATAATAATACACAGAACATAATGATGTGAACATGTATCAAGTATGGATATATTTAGAGTTTTGAGAAACACATATGGTAAGCAAGAGTTAGAAGGAAATGACATGTCTGACTTATGAAGAGATTAATGTCTCCCATCCTTCATTTTGGCTGAAGTGTAGATTCTCTCTTTCTCCTTCTCCCATCCCCTAACATGAGGGAATTTTCCAGTGCACATAGAATGGACATCATGATACACCAAAGGCATGCCACAGTTCCTAGCACATAATAAATGGTAAATAGCCATTCGTATTTTTAATGTCTTTTATTCTCCTATAGAAGGGATTTTCAAACGAAAACTGCTCTGTAGCTTAACAAGGGTTTAAAGAGACTTCAGAGCCAGCAGCATCAGAACAATGAGACATGCAGCCTTGTTGCCTAATTCACTCTTGGGTGACCAGTCTTAAATGATGCAATGTGAAATCATTTCAATTAATTTTGGTCTGTCTCTGTAGTCTTCTGAGGGCCTTATAAAAGAAGTATATGCTTAAAGCTAATACACAGGAAGGCCTGAAAGCTCCAAACTGTGCAGCTTTTGGTGGATTTGAGGTAAACCCTTTATGAGGAACAAGAGAGAATGGATTTGCTTATGGTTATAGTTTCTCTCTCTAAAGATTTACCAGCTTAGAAAATATGTATATATGCACATATGTGAGTGTGTGTGTGTAAGTGTGTGTGATAGTTATTATTTTTTTTAAGCAAAACAAAATTTCCTTAATTCATCCCTGATATTGAGAGAATAATACTAATACATTTGGGCCATTTGTGACTTCTTTCTCAAAAATGCTTTTTGGGATGCCAAACCAAGCTGAAATGTCTGCCACCCTTGATTTTTGGTAGTAAAAAAAAAACAGTTTGAAGTAGCCTGAAGACGAAACATAAATCAATGTTATTCATAGCTTACTTATGCTATGCTAATATATTTGCCATAGGCAAGAAGTACTCCTAACTAATAAACTTACTTTAAATCATTAGTTGAAATGTCTGGATATTCCTTCTAATGATTTCCCCAGCTTAGTTTTGTCAATGCTTCGCAGGTCTTCATGCCTTCTACCTGAACGTATGGGTCATGGTAGATAGACAGAACAAAAAACTTTTATAACATTTTAAAAACTGGGATTAGAAGATCCTAAAACCTTGTCTGAGTGCTCTGCTGTTGATTTCTCAGAGGAGTAAAATATACGTGGCAACTTCTTCAGAAAGAACATATTAAAGTTGAAGTATAAGGATTTTTAGATCAAAAGGATAATGATTTTTTAAAATCTTTACTATGTGATAAATTATTCTGAAGGCATTATAAAGATGTACAAGCTTGCACCAGGGAATAACACAGAAAGTTGGTGGTGACTTTGAAATTAGTATAGACATAACACTAACCTCCTTCCTTCCTTGGCCAAGTTTCTTTATAGCATGATGCCACAACTGTTTTTTTTTTTTTTAAGTAATTTTTTCTTATCACCAAAAGATTTTCTTTTTCTTCTTTAAGTGATATACACAAGAACGGCTGCATGTTTTAAAACATGTGGAACATGATAGGCTCACCTATTTTCCCTCTATTTAAAATAATGGTTTCATAGAGAATTGTAAATTATTTCTCCTCTTAACTTTCATGAAGAAAATGACACTTATATTTTAAACCAATTTAACTCTCAAGATGTGCCATCTGTGCCTCTCCTCTTGTCTCTAGGCCAAGAGAGTGTTATTAAGCTTGAGGATGGGTAGAAGAGAAGAGTGGCAGAGAGAGGCACTGGAGGTGTTTGAGAGAGGCATGAGGGGAGATGAAAGGCCCGTGCAATTGGGGAATTTCCTGGTGCATTTCCCTGAGAAAAAAACTAATGATGGTGATTTGGGGTTATGAAAAATGACTGACCGTCCATCAGCATAGGATAAGATCAGAAGATTCTTCATAACGCTAGATACAGGACTCCTGAAGGCAAATAATATGATTGACTATCACATGGGTCTCATGCAAGGAGAGTTCATACGAGTTAAAAGGATAAAAGCCCTGGTGTAGCCCACTGGGGAGAGATAAACCTTTGAAGGAAGCCCTTTTAACCACATTCATCAGTAAGGCCATAAGGGACTTCCTTGGAAGTTTATCACAATTGCTTTTGCATGAAACTGTATTTTTCACCATGGTCTCCAATGAAGATAAACCCAGTGCTGCTCATATCATTGAAATCTACAGTGGAGATCTACAATGACCCTCTCCATGCGTGTTGGTCATCTCTTTCTGCTTCTTCATGCCCTGCTCATGTTTCTTCATGTTCCTCCTGCGACTTATTTTTTGTAACAGCATGATTAAGACATAATTCACATAACGTGCAATTCACTCACTTAAAATACAAAATTCAATGGTTTCTAGTATATCACAGGCTTGTGCAACCTTCAGCACAATCAATTTTAGAGTATTTTTATCACCCCAGGAAGAAATTCAGAACTCTTAGCAGTCATTCCCATTCCCCTCCACAACTGCCAGTCCTAAGCAGCATCCATCAATCTACTTTGTGACCATAGATTTGCCTATTTTAGACATTTCATGTCAATAGAATCATGCAATATGTAGTATTTTCTGACTGGAGTCTTTCATTTAGCATGATGTTCTTGAAATTAATCCGTGCCACAGAATGTGTCAGTTCTTTATTCCTTTTTGTTGACAAATAATATTCCATTGTATGAATATAGCATGTTTATTTTTTTTCATTCATCAGTTGATGGATATTTGTGTTGTTTTCCTTATGGGCTGTTTCTTTGATTTTTTTTCTTCTTGGCATCGTGTATGATTTCCGAATAGCATGGTGCAAAATAGGCCTTGAAGTTTCCTGCATCTGGGTGCAAACTCCAGTTCTGCTGCTGATAAGCAATGGGGCTCTGGTCAAGTTATGTGACTTTTGTGATCCTTTATTTCTCATTTTGCATAAATGGACAGCCCACAGGGTACTGCTCATATTGCCCCTTGGCCCAATGTGAGGATATAATAACTATTGAACATTTTTTTCATTTATTGAATGAGTAATCACATAATATGAGCCTTCCCAAGGAGCTCTTATATATTGTTTATAAAGGTAATCTGGGTAATGCCGGGCTCTTACACTCTATTTTAAATCAAGCAAGTGAAGGCTTCAGAGACATCTCTTCGTATTGACAGTGTGCTCTGCAAAAGATTCAGCAAAGCTCCATGAGAACTGTTTCTGTTCATCTCTTCCTAACTCAGCCTCACCCTGTAATTTTAGGACATAAGCCCCACAGACTTTTACCTTAGATATAGTGCAATTCAAACACACACACACAAACACACACACACACACACACACACACACACGCACACAGAGATGCCAACCATTCCTGAGAAGGAACTTGCAGAATCTTCCATTTCATAGCATTATCTGTTGAGACAGAAATAATGTGATTGATTTGCCAGGTCATCCAGGATTTCAAAAACCCCCAAACTAAGCCATTTTACATTTTAGATCCAAAGTGTTGTTTATCATAGGCTGTTAAGACTTTCTCATTTTAATTTCAACCAGAGAAGAATACATTGAATATAAACAGGGCCTCTTAGAGCAGTCAGAGAGCATACTGAGAGTTTCTCTAGTAATAGAGTCAAAAATAGTGACTAACCAAGTCTTTAAGTAGAAATGCTACCCCTAAATAAATGCTTCTAAATGAGATGGCAAAAACGAATAGACTCTTGTTTAATTAAAGGTACTTGTAAAGTTTGCTTAGAGTTTGCAGTAATCCACCTTGTCAGTTCTCATCCGGGATGTTTAATGATGGGTTTGCTTTAGTTTCCAAATGGAAATCAGCTGCTGCTTCTTTACAGCCTGACATTAGGCACCCTGTGGAAATTGTATTATTCTCCACATGCATATTCATAGAATTAAGTATTATCAATGGACTTAAAGAGCTCAATTATTTTTTGCAATTGCATGCTTAGTTGCTTATTCTGAAGTAGAGTAGATTGAGTATTTCGGGGCCTGGTCAAATCCTTGAAATATAAATGTGAATGTATATCAGCAGAAAATCACCAGCTTTACTTTATCAGTTGGATTGTTAAGACAATTGCCAACAATATTATCCCTTGATTTATAGTTCACAAAATGTCTTCTGTTATAATGAGCATAGTTTTTTTCCTCACAGAACTCTGTGAACAAAAAAGCATTCTACAGATGAGGAAACTGATTGTCATCCAAGAAGAATCTCTTATCTAAGATTGTATAAGTACTGAAGCAAGATTAAAATCTAGACATTCCTGACTTCTAGTTCTTTATTGCATTTTCTGCATCCTATTGCTTCCCTGGGGAAGGTCTTATTTCTGTATGTTTGGAAATACCTACTTACTTTAGATTTTTATTTTAGCTTGTGTATGTGTCATGGTGGTGTCATTTTAATTACCAGGCCACTGAACCACATGGACATTTGGTAATAGACAGAATGCTGCATTTCCAGATGCTAGAGTTAGTGTAATTCTTGATTAATAATTTAATAGAAAATAAGGTGTTTGTTTACAATGTTAACTAAACATTCAAGGAAAACACACAGCAGCAATTGAGATGAGAAAACACAGAATGCAAACAGGAAAACAAAAGAAATGAGGATGGATTAATTCTACATGCAGTTGAAATATACCACCTGCTTTGCCCTTGCTTTTGGGACATTCAAGTTCATCTCTCTTTCTCCAGTATCATTGTCATTGTGTTAGATTATTACTGTGGTTTGTAGAGCTATAGGGACTTTGTGAGCAGTGATCTCAAACTCAAATATCTATAAGAACCAGACTAAAAATATAAATAACTGGGTATATGCTGGTTATAGATACCTGTATCTATGTTCTGCAAGTGATGGCATCTTTAGCAAACTAGAACATAGGTACTAGTTAAAGGAGCTGAGCTGTGTTCCCAGCTGGTTGTTGCTCTCTTGGAATTAGTACAGAATTTCCCAGATCTTGTAATTTTCCAAGTAAGTCCAGATATCAATATATTTTTTAACACTGTGAAGTCTCTTACTACCTGAATTAATTAAATCTAATGAAAAAGAATCTTTTGTAGAAAAAAAAATGGCCAGATGTGGTGGCTCATGCCCGTAATCCCAGCACTTTGGGAGGCTGAGGCGGGCAGATCACCTGAGGTCAGGAGTTCAAGACTAGCCTGGCCAACATGGTGAAATCCCATCTCTACTAAAAATACAAAAATTAGCTGGTGTGGTGGCACACACCTGTAATCTCAGCTACTCTGGAGGCTGAGGCAGGAGAATTGCTTGAATGTGGGAGGTGGAGGTTGCAGTGAGCAGAGATCATGCCAGTGTACTCCAGCCTGGGCAGCAGACTGAGACTCTGTCTCAACAATAACCACAACAAAAAACCACAAACTGGCAGAAATTGGCCTACAGGCCATTTATTTCCAACTTCACTCAAATGGACCTTCCTCCTAGAAAGGAAAACCATCCTCATTTAATATTAAGGGACTAAAAATGAAAAGAGGTGTCAGTATATACATTCTGATCACATCCGTACTTGGAAGTTCATACAATGAATTCATCAAACTCTCATTCTTCTTCTGGGGAAATATCTAAACTCCATTGCATTTCCTTATTCCACTGTGGCCCATTGTGGATTGTGTGTTATATTTGAATATATCAAATCTAGCAAATTGACATTGAAAACCAAACATATCAGAGACAAACTATAGAAACACAATAGAGAAAATAAATCCACCTCTGCCAAAGTATGATCTTTCCAATCATTTCAACTCCTAAAAGTAGAAGGAAGCTTGGAACTGGAGGTGTTAAGGAGTTTGCTTGGAAAAAGCAATGAAATAAATATTGCTGTCTTTCAAGAATATATATGTCTAACTCACCTCAGGGTTTGGACCTGGGTGTTGAATGAACTGAGGATCTCTTTGGCAAGAAGCTCTAGTAGATGACAAATTCTTACTCTTGTTGTATTGCTCAAAGAATGCCCCCTACTTCTTGATAGCATTTCTGAGGTGCCAGAGCTTCAGGTGATAAATGACATTTTTATTCTTGACATGTTACTCTTTATTATATCATTGAGAAATAAAGTTCAATAAGTGACTTCTGATAATACTTTACTGCGGTCTTTATGAAAGATCGATTCCATTAAGTAGGTACATTTCAGTTGCTATTACTTCAAGTGATGCCATAATGTACTTGAAATTCAGTCTTTAGTTAATAATAGCAAGCTTATTGAGTGTATTAGAGATGTGCTAAAGTACTTACTTTTGGGCCTGGTATCAGCCAAGACATAGTATTTTAGACTTGCAGGCTTTCCATGTATTTCCCCCAAAATCTTATACATATATATATATAATTTAATATGTATCTATAGTGTATATATATGTCTAATATATATATGACAGAGTATCTTACATATGGCATAGCATTTTATTATATATGTCATGGTGTTTTAGACCTGTATGCTTTCCATGTATTTTCTCCCAAATCTAATATATATATATATATATACACACACACACATACAATTTTTGAAATGCAAATATGTGTGCAATCATTTTTTAGGGTATTATCATTTAATATACTAAGGTAACCTCATTGATTAAAACTTGAAATATGACTTTACTCGAAGTCACTTGGGAAATATATTGATGGTCATGCTATTCATAAAAATGAACTCAAGTCTACCTGTCTAGAAACTGAGCAATGTCACTTGAAAAGAATACAGCAGTAAGAATAAGAAACTAAACCAATTATAGTTTTTACAAATAATTATTCTTATGATCAGGAGTAATAGTTGTGTGCAGTGAAAAAGGGTGTAATATTAACTAAAGACTAGAGTTTGATTTCTCTCAGCTTTTAGCACTCAAGAAAATGTGATGAGAATGTCTGGGCTAAGCAGGATGGATAAACTTTAACAAAAAAGTTGTAAAAACAGTACAAGGAACTTTCATATCCTGAAGGGGCAATTTTAAAAGTAATTGTGAAATTTTAATAACATAGGGAAGTACTCATTCATCTATTGTTAAGTTAATAAGCAGCCTAAAAATTGGCTTACACATTATAGAACCAATTAAGCTTTAAAAAAACAAAGAGAAACTCACACAGAAAGGAGACTGGAAGCATGTGCTCAAAAATATTAACAGCGGCATGCATACATAATAGGATTATAGATGATTTTATTTGTGTTTTTCATTTTTCTGATTTGTTAAATAATAAAAAATTCCTGTATGCAAAGAAAGCATGTTTAAGTAAAAGTATATTGTATTGGTAGTGTTAAATGTGCTTGTGCCATTTTTATTCAGGTAGGGGTGTGTGTGTTTGTGTGTGTGTGTTTCTGCACATTGATAATAGCAAAATACCAGTTGTATCAGTGATCCATGATGAAATTGTTAACACTGATGATGCTATTTCACTGTGGAATTTTCTTGTGATGTTGAGAATCTTCTTTGTTAGTTTTTTTAGAAGTAAAAGCTTATCATAAGGAAAGTATCAAAAAATTAGGATTTGAAATTTGTAATTAATATTAATTTAATAACTCAACTAAACAAATTACAAATTTTAGGATTTCATTATGATGTAGCTTCATTGCTTTAGCATGAATTTCTCTCTACCATCAGAAAATAAACTTCTTACCTGTCCAGTATGGAGCATGTAGACAATTTTGTGGCCAGCATGAAATTTTTACAGTGATGATACCAGCAAACACCTCCAAGATATAATGTCAGATCTGGTTAATCAGTATGTTAAAATATGTTTGAATTTGTCTTGATTAGAAAAATAGCAATCAAAGCATTCAACTCTTTTCACTTGTTGAGACAGATGGCCTATCTTTATGAAGGCAAATATCCAAAAACAACAACCCACTACCTTATCTTTCAAAATATGGTGCTCAGAATCATCTTGGAAAAGAGCTATTTAAGCCTAATAAGCCATATGCTTGATGAATTGATTTATTCCATTTTGTAGTATAGACATAAAAATCTTCTTTGCAGCATCTTTATCATATCTGCATTCTCTGCAACTCATTTATAAAAATTAGCAAAACTTCCAAATAAGGAATAAATTATTATAGAGAATTCAGCTTCTGTGTCTTACAAAAGAAAAAAAAAAATGTGTCTAAGTGAACAGTCTCTGATTTGCCAGATATTCTCCCCATAAAGTTCTGTGTATTTGAAGAGCAAATAAACTGACAGCTTCCTTGGTATGCATAAAGCAGGTCTAAAATTATTCCAGAAAGAATCCCTCAGAGAAATGCAACTTCCCTGTCATTCTTATGTATTATTTAAGGTAGAGATTGACCATGGGCATAGAAGAAATATACAATGTTTCTGGGTCCTAAAAGAAGAGAGTTCATATACTTTTTAATTTTATGTATTTTAAGATATATGTCAGTGCATTGTATTTAGCATGGAAAAGAATGTCCTATCAAAATAAGCAGCTACTCCTGCATGTAGTTTAGTGGCAAACCCACCTATTAACCTCTAGCCACAACCAAATAACCCCACACTTGAAACCTGAGGTTGATTAGATGAACCTTTGTTCCCCATAAAATTCTTTAAAATTATACATTTCATTAAAAGAGGAACATATTTGGTCAACTTAGAAACACATTGTTGTGCAATAGAAGAGCATGGCTTTGTTATTAGATGGAGATGCATTCTAAATCGGAATCCACCATTTGCTTAACTGGGAACTGCTGGGTACATTATATAAACTCCCTGAGGCTGAGAGAGGATAGGAAACTGTGATGAGGTAAAAAATCAAAACTAAATTTTAAAAGTAAAGTATACTTGACTTTTGCATGGGATATTATACTTACATAAATGTGGCTATTTCTGATCATCTGAGGTACTGGATTTCCAATTATTAGATCAATTACAAATTCCTTTGCCCAATAAACACATAATATTTGAGAAAGTCTTTCTTTCCACTTTAATTGTGAAGCATAAACAAAAGTGTAACCTTTGTGGAGTACGCTGAGTCTTTAACTGAAAGAGATGGCGTATCATTGTTAGAAGAGAGACCAAGAAGTTGGTCTAAATTATCAGTCTCCAAAGGCTATGATATTTGTTACCCAAGTTGTGTCTGTGTTTGTGTGTGCATGTGTATATGTAGGTGAGAGTGTGTGTGTGTGTGTGTGTGTGTGTGTGTGTGTGTATGTATGTGAGAGAGAGAGAGATAATGAGGACCAATTTAAGACTTAGCTTAAAATATCTCTACAGGATTCCAGGAGATTGGATGAAGTTTAAGTTATGAAGTAATCTAGGAAACATTAATAACTCTCTCTGTTGGTCTGCAAAATCATGTTATTAAAACTCAAACCATTTGGCAAGAATCATCATCAATGTATCGAATGCACCTGAAACAATCACGAGTTAACTTTTCCATCTTTCAATTATCATATTCATGTCTAAATACATTTGTGTTGACTGACTGCTGATCAAACTACATGTGTGCGGAAAAGGACAAAAGATAGAAATGTGAATGTTGGAAAAATACTTACTACTTAAATGCAAGTATTTTGATAAAAAACATTATCAGTGAGCTCACCAAGGAAATGTTATCTGGGTGCTGGATTGGTAAAGAAATATCTAGCTATCAAATTGGGTACAGTGGGATTTAAGGGTTCACCTGGAAGCTCTATCAAAAGTTTGCTTAACTCTAGCAGACCACCAGGATCCCTCTGGTTCCAGTGGGCTTTTAGAATCTCCAAAGCTCTTAGACTTGAACCACATTTCGTTTTTGGAAACAGACTCAGAAAGAAAGAGGAACAGGAGCAGCTAGGAAGTGTTTTTAGTAATGGTTCAGAAAGTGGGGTCCCAGGAGCAGCAGCATTATAGCCTGAGGAGAAAAGAGAGGGACTTGTTAGATATGGAAATTCTTCGGCCCCACTCCAGACCACCTGAATCAGAAACTAGGGTTAGCAGGCCGGGCAAGGTGGCTCACACCTGTAATCCCAATACTTTGGGAGGCTAAGGTGGGTAGATTACCTGAGGTCAGGAGTTTGAGACCAGCCATCTTTCAGTAAGAAACATGATTACTGGAGGATGTGGTATACCACCTAGGTTTGTGTGCAACTTTTTTTGCCGTGATAAGATTATCTATTACTCAATCTTAGAAGTAGCAAAAGAAATTATGGAATGCTTTTTAAGGCATACTTCTTCCTTGAATCAGTAATCAAGGAAAAACTATGGCAGGGAAAATAGAAAGGTTAGGCAATTTGTATTTCCCAATGGTTTGAAAAAACAGTGGCTGTTGCATTTCTGCTAAAGGCTGCTAAATCCAAATTGATGAAACTTTTGGCCCAGCCTTGCAGAATTCCCTTTGAAATGTTTTGTCATGTCTGTCAGTTTAGTCATAGTTTAAGATGTTACATGTTTAACTTAGGGAGATGAGTGCAGAGTCTGAAAATATGTCATCGAAAGCAAAAAAAAAAAAAAGTGACTTCAATTTATGACAAAAATACAGCAGAGGGACTGAATTGGAATCTTCAGAGAGCATGAGTATTTGAGCCCCTGCCAAATGTTAATCCCTTTCAATGGAAAGAAGGATTAGAAATGTACATTGGCCCTATATCTTCATTTAATTCAGGACTACTAGTTATCTAGAAACATTTTTGTTATTGTGTCTAATTTCGCACTATTTTTGGCATCATTTTCAAAAACCTTTACCCTGGTTTATTTATTTATTTTTTGGCTCTGATCATCAGTATTAATTCAATTCTATTTGTTTTCTACATAATTAAATTGTTCTATGTGAGCATCAATCTATTACAGTGTTACAAGTTAGTTCATTGTTTCAAGGAGGTAATGTTAGTATATCTCTGAAATAACATGTAGGTCTCTGATTGAGTAATGAAATACGATGTATTCAATTTCTTCTCTCTATTTAACCTACCTGGAACCATGTTTGTCAGACTAACTCACCACAGAGTGAGCATGGATAAACTTGTATGAGGTCAAAGCCCATACCACTGAGGATACTAATATAAAAGATTACCAATTTGTGACACCTTGCTATTGCATTATTATCCATGCTTACGAGGCTGGTTGCAGTGAGATGTCTAATTTGAATTTTCTGAACCATGCCTTTAAGGCTCACATACCTGAGGTATTTATCCAAACACATTGTAGGTTTACCTCCCTCAAATATCCAGCCATCCATCCGTTTCCTTCTGAGCAGAGCAATAAAAATCAAGCCAGACCCTATGCTTTACGTATAGAACCAGTAAGATTTACAGCCAGGCTGAGTATAAAATCATAAAACTTTCAGTACGTGGTTAATATATAACCATCAAAATAACAGAGTGCAATTCTAAATTTATGAGGCTGAACTTAACACTGAATATCAAATAAGAATCACATTGATCTCTGTAGCGGATGACTTAAAAACACATTAGGTGGCATAAACTGCAAGACAGTACATTGATTTAAGCATAAAATGCATAGCGCTCAATACTTTACCACCTAACGTTTCTCAGTAATGAACAAAGCTGTTGTATATTGATGAAAGGAAAATTATTTGTTTTGTTATATTACAGTGCTCACAGAGATGCCTTGTATTTAGGCTAGGCAAACATGGTTTGAATCACATTTAGCAAAGGGTCACATTGGATGGACATTTTACTGAATTTATACTTGTTTCTCAAAATAACTGTACAGAAGCATTATCACGATGACAGTTTTCTCATTTTCTCTTTTAACAGAGGAAAGATTCATACCAGGTAGATACGGACTTTTTGTAGAAATACACTTTACTGTAAGTTTTCTGATAAAGGCAATTACATGGAATTTTAAGGTTGATCTCTCTAAGTGCATGAAATGATCTTGTAAAATTACCATATTCAGAAAATCTAAAAGCATATTTTAAAAAGAAACAATAATTTTATGGTAAATACATATTTTATAAAAATCTTTACTGTAGAAGGATCTTTAAAAAATTGATTGGAATGAGGAATATTAGGAAATGTTAATAGCTACAGGTGTGTCCATGTAATATAGATAGCAAAATGGATAAAATTGGTTCTGATATGGGGTGAAAAACAAAAGCTAACACTCGGCAAGTGATTTAGGGTGATTTATGGCGTGATTTATGGAGGTAGTAGGGGCCCTGGTTCGCTAGAGAGAGAGCACCCACTTCTCAGCTTCCTCTATCTGATTGTTGTGTCTGGGTGTATGAAAATATCAGATCTTGGGATCTGCAATAAAAGTGAGACATACAGATTTATCTGTGAAGTCTCCTGATTTTAAAACACTAACAGATGATTTAAATGGGAAATAAGAGGTACTGATCAAATGTAACCTATCTTAGGTCGATTTCCAGCACTCACACTGCTGGTTAAAGATCACTCATCTTCAGGCTTCTGGGAACGTTGCTTCATCCAGAGGAGCAAGAGTTATCCTTTCTGTTGGTGGAAAAAATAATCAGTGGAAGAATCCGATATTCAAATTTTCATAATTTGCTTGGGAAATATCACCTTGGTACATCAGTTAATATTTTACTAAATGAGCTGTGTTGTATTATAAGTTTCCATCAGGCGGGTGGTAGCTTCAAGACTTTGGTGAGAAAAGCTCCTTTGCAAGTTGGTTCTCTTTCCTCACAAGTATCCACAGGTAAAGAATTTTGCCAGGACTCAGAGAACAGCATTCACTCACTGAAGTGTTAATGGCAAAGCAAATCTAGGTGCAAAGTTGGCTGACAGGTCCGCCACAGGAAGATTTCTGTCTATCACCATTTCAACTGTAGGATAGGTAAGTCCCTTTTCATGAAACAGTGCTGGGAGGAAATTGTATCATTCTTTCCAATAAGTGACTCTTTAAATGAAAAAAAACTACTACAGCTTTAACTTTACATTCAAATAAATGATATATGCATATTTGTAGCATGTATTTTACCTGTTGTACACTTTCTAGCATTATGTTTTCAGGCTAGTTTTCCTTCATAATAAATTAACTTATTACTCTTCATGACATGCAAGATGGACTGTGATGTTAAAGAATAATGTTTTCTAATTATCATTGACATTTGCAGAGAAGATTAAAATTTAATAAAATTAATTGTCCATTCTTGAATGGCTTACTTTGCAGTTAATCATAGAACTCTGATTTCTCTTACTCTTATGAAAACTTCTGAATTTCCTGTGTCTTATTAATATCCATAGTAAACCCAGCACTTAGAAAGTAAGTTAGATTTTTTCCTTCTGTTGACATTGTTGAAGCAAAAAAAAAAGTACTGATTTTGAAAAAATTCTATGGTTGAAGTTTTTCAACTGAAACCTTTACCAGTAATCTCACCCATCTTATTAGGAAAACCTAACTTCTGGAGGTTATGTTGAATGGTGAGGAATGTATCCTCTTCGCCGTGGTACATCTCTAGTAATATAATTTGAAGTGCTAGGGCCCCTTGCATCCATTTCTGAATCTATTATTAGTTGATTAAATTAGCTGGCTGGATCAGTACAGTGAGAAGAGACGCAGTAATGATATTATAGAATTAGTATGCTATGATGAATTGTCAGGAGAAGTAATTGTGACAGCCCTGTGGCCATATGCACTTAGCCATGCAATTTATAGTCATTTGGAGAGCCAAGGACTTTTCAGTTTGGGTTAGGAAATTTGCTCCTGCTTTTGACATAGTTTGAGGGATATGTGTGTAAGAGTGAAGGGGGTGCTTAGCAGCGATTCAGGAAGAAATCAAAAGTCTCACTTCTTAGCCATTGGCATTTGGATGATTTTCAGGGAATAAGCCAGTGTGTGGATGCCTTTATTGTAACAGTGCCAATTCCTTTAAATAGATTTATATGATAGTGCCGTTACTTTATGGTTGCTGAAGATAACGTTACTTTGGGTAAGATAAAAGTAAATGCAATCTGGTATCACAATTTCCCTTGTTATGGAACACTGTAAATTCTCATCCATGTACTGCATTTACAGCAATCCTGAAAACATTGCTGGGGTTGTTTTGATTTAAATACATACGGGGCTCCTAATTGCAAGTAGTTTTTAAGCAACTTAAAATATAACGTTACTTTTTGTTTGTTTGTTTTGCAACTATTTGCAAGATAAACGGACTGTCAGGTGCCTCTAAAAGGCTTATGATGACAGCAGTTGGCAATGCAAATATTGGCACGACACCACATTAGGGCAAATTTATTGCAGAATTACCAAAACATGTATAACTGTGAAGTCACCTCAGTACAACTATTATATGAGAATTACTCTCTTGCTGTTTTTGTTTTTGTTTTTGTTTTTGTTTTGTTTTTTCATTTTATGACTACCAGGCTACAGTAATATTCAGTAGTACAATGAACATGCTTACTGACATTCTAACTCCAAACCAGATTCATGCAGAAAACTACTCCTTTTTCTTTTAGCTGTCTATAGATATTTTCTGTGTATAATCGATCGCTTTTATTTCTCAAACAGGATTTTCATTTGATTACAGATGATTGTTTCGAGATCATTCAAATCAATCAAATGATGTTTGATTACATAGATTGTTTCGTTTTTCTTTTCTTCTCTTGTCATTGTTTTATCCATTGTTAACTCAATGTCAATATTTCAAAGATAATCTATAATCAAATATTGTCTTAGGATCTTATTTTATGTCTTAGCCCCTTCTCCATGTCCCTAATCTTAATCACCCAGAATTACACATTTAGAAACACTTCTTCAGTAATTCTGTAGTTGCACATTTCACTTTGAAGGTAATAGAAGGGTGTCTGTCACTTCTTCATTTCTGTGTCCTTCCAGCTCACTAGCACTCTTATCTGGGAGTTATTTTTGACTCTCCTCCTTCACCTTCCAAGTCTAATTTAACACCAACACTTGCTGATTCCTTCCCAGCACAGTCCATCCCTGGCCCCTGCCATCATTCTATACTGGAGTGCAGTGCTCCCCTCTTAGTCCATCTCTCTGCCATCTCTTCCCAGACCAGTAGAACCTATATATACTGAATTGCCAGATGGATCTCTTAAATTTTTATTATAGCCCCTCATATTTCCTCCATGTGACATGAGGCCTTTTGCTTATTCTTATTCCAGCCTACAGAACTTATGTGCTTTTTCTCTCCTCTATCTTACCCTTTCCCTAGCACACATAGATGGCTAACTATAATTGTAATTTATAAATTTTTGTGCCAGGTACTGTGCTAAGTGCTTTCCATACATTATCTAGTTTAAGCATCATGGCATTCCTACGTGGTAAGTGGTGTGATTCCCTTTTTATAGTCAAAGAAACAGAGGTGTGAAACAACTTGCCCACCAAAGTGAAGGTGTAAGAGGAAGAGCCAGGGCCCAAAAGTAGGTCTGTCTGACTTTGTAGTGAAACCATCAACTACCGTGCAGCACTGGCACCCTGGCTACACGTGGTTGTGTTGCTGTTTCCCTGGTGTGGATTTGCATTCAATATTCATCTTTTTGATAATTTGTGTTCCTCCTCCCCTTTGTGTACATTTGGAGACTGACCCCACCTTTCATTTTGCATTTTCATATTTGTTTTACTGCATTAATTTGCATTGAATAATGTGTCACTAAGTATTTGTGCTTGTACACGTACATCCTCACCTAGACCACAATCAAATTAAACTGCTTTGGAGAGCTGGGCACGGTGGCTCACGCCTGTAATCCCAGCACTTTGGGAGGCCAAGGTGGGTGGATCACCTGAGGTCAGGAGTTCGAGAACAGCCTGACCAACATGATGAAACCCCATCTCTAATAAAAATACAAAATTAGCAGGGTGTGGTGGCACATGCCTGTAATCCCAGCTACTTGGGAGGCTGAGGCGGGAGAATTGCTTGAACCCCGGAGGTGGAGGTTGAGGTGAGCCGAGATTGTGCCATTGCAACAAGAGTGAAACTGTCTCAAAAAAAAAAAAAAAATATTGCTTTGGAGAAACGTATAGAATCAAAATATTTTCCATTCTTCAATACAATACTTTGGACTTACAGTCCCTAATGAAGGTGGACATTCAACTTACTAATTGTTCCTCTTTGTCAGGGTGACTTTGTTGCTATATTATATTTTAATATTTTCATTTGGTAAATTGCAGGAAAATTAGATTGTCTTCTATGAAGCTTGAGAAAAGCTAAGTTTTGCAAACAAGCTCCTGACCATACAGCAGTAGCCAGAACAATGAACAGGACATGAACAATAAAGAATCTGTGACCAACAGGAAGATATGGAGATTTGCATACTTTTAAAACCTTATGTGATTAATATTAGATTCAATCTTTACATTTCTTTTTACAACATTTTGTTCCATAAAAAATGTCAAGCGTGTGTTTGCTGGGAAGAGGAAGAGTTCATTATTCTTATGGTTTTCTTCATTATATTTTGAAAAGCCAAGGATGGGGAAATCAACATTGGTAAAAGCAATTAGTGATGTGGGTTGAGGTGCGGGAATTACATCCTATCCCTTGGCATCAAGAATAAATACCAATTATTATCATATATAGAAGTGTGCCTGTGTCGCTTAAAAAATTATGATTGCTTCAAGATAGTTTAAACATTATCATCTAATAAAAGCATATTGAGAAATTAGATAATTTGACTAAAGTATATAACTATACTAAGCAACCTAAACTTAAAATTATGTATATATTTACATATACGTTTCATATCATAAAATACAACATACTATATGTATATACACACACACATGAAAACTTAGATGTGTATGTAGATAGATAGATAGATAGATAGATAGATAATTATTTAAATATGTTGGTAGGCCAGGTAAGGTGGCTCATGCCTGTAATTCCAGCACTTTGGGAGGCTGAGATGGGCAGATCGCTTGAGGTCAGAAGTTCAAGACCAGCCTGGCCAACGTGGTGAAACCCCACCTCTACTAAAAATACAAAAATTAGATGGGCATGGTGGCTCATGCCTGTAATCCCTGCTACTTGGGAGGCTGAGGCAGGAGAATGGCTGAGCCTGGGAGGTGGAGGTTGCAGTGAGCTGAGATGGTGCCACCGCACTCCAGCCTGAGTGAAAGAGTGAGACGTCGTCTCAAAGTAAATAAATAAATATAGATAGATAGATAATTGGGCAGATGGGTATTTAGAACGACAAAATTTCATCAGCATCTTTTCCCGTTTCACTTAAGCTTCTGAAAAGCCCTTCTTGGTCAGAATGACTGAAACAAAGTGATGGCCTTTTCAAAGTTACATAATATATTTTCAGCACATCCCCTGACTAACACTATGAAAAGTGCATCCATTCTAGAGTCAGACAGGCCTAAGTTACAATTCTGGATTTACTCATCACTTTCTGTATGTTTTTAAATGAGTTATGCAACTTCTCTTCAGTAAACCAAGAATAAATATACTTATGATATGAAGTTAAGATTATCCGAAAAGGGAAAACTCAGCCCTCATTTGAACTAAAATCAGCTTAAAAGGCAAATTGTAAGTAACAAGAGGGGACTTCCAATAGTGAGCAAGTTCTACCAATATAGTAAGCATTCCTGGATTTTGCAGCAGCAGAGAGCATGATTGGAACATTTCAATGAGAATTTATTTGGCATAAAGGGAGTTAGAATTAAGTTGAACTTCGAAGTAAGTGTAATAATTAAAATAATAAACGAAAAGAAGGCAAAAGGAAAAGATGTAGGTATAGAGTTTTATACTTTGCAAAAGGTCACCAAAATTCCTGGTGACCAGTTGCTTAATAGGAATAGGGAAGCCAGATGCAGGAGTAGTTTGCAACTTGGAAAGCACGTGTCCGTGAAAAGTGGAGAGCTTATTGTTACCCTGTGTGAAGGAAATTGTAGGCTATGAGACCTTTTAATTTTTCTAGACTATCTTAAAATCCAGTTCTCAAAAACAATCTGATTTTTAAATGATGTCAAATTATTCAAGCTTTCTGGGACCAAATAAACTATGTGGACTCCGGGATGGTGGCCTCTCTACTGTACTGTGAATGAGGACATGTATAGCTGGTAATAAGTATGATGGCAAGTGGAGTGGAGTGGGCTTTACACCCTTCTCAGCAGGGGAGCCCTGGAAGTTCTATGACCTCACCTCCTACCAGTATTCTTCTCACTCACTCACTCACTTCCAGCCATGCGGTCTTTGAATAAGCCAATCCCATTTCCAATTTAGGGAGTTTTGCACTAAGTATTCTTCCTGCCTGAAATGTTCTGCCTCAGGTATCTTCATGTCTAATGTTGTCTCCTTCAAGTTCAGATGTCACCTTCTCAATAAGGCCCACCCTGACCATTGTGTAAACTTGCAACTGCCTTCCCATCCCTGTTTTATCATGATACCTCGTCTTTTTCCGACAGCACCATCATTCTCTACTATAGAATTTACTCCCCTATCACAATTTCTTCTTATTATCACCCTGTCCCTACTGGAATATTAGTTCCAGAGTGGCAGGAATCTTTGTTTTGCTTACTAATATACCTAGAACTAAGCCTGATATGTTGCACACACTCAAAATATTTGTTGCATAAAGAAATGAGTGAAGGAAGGAATTAATTCAATTGTTATTTAAAGACCATAGTAAAAACGTGGACACATACTTTTGAAGCACAAGACTAAACTAAATTAATTGGAGACAAGAGGACTTTAACATTTAGGATTGGAGGCACCAGCATAGTAAGAATTGGGAAAGGCTTATAAAATTGTAAAGGTGTTTTGAGGTCGTGGTTAAACAGTAATACGTCTATGCTAAAACTTTAAGAGTATTTGCTAATTAACTAACCTCATATGGAACAAAACCCCCACATTGTTGATATCTCAAAAGAAATATTAGTCTGACTTAGGCCACTGATCCATGCTACTCAGTGTTGTTTTTCTGACAATAGCAATAAAGGTAATTATATTTGAATATTAATGGTTGTTTTGCAAAGCATTGTTCTGATAGAGTAGTCACTTATATTGAAATTAACATTTCCAGTGTACACACGTTAACCTTGTCCTCAGTCAACAGCTAACTTAAATTAAGTGCCTATTAGAGCTCCATTTAACTAGAGATCAGACCAGCCTCGGCATGGGTGTTGTCCCTGAGGTGTTTAAAGAGAGCCAAGCTTCTGCTCAACAGGTGGCCCTCCTCTTTGAACTTCTAGTGAGAGCTCCAGTGAATATGTGGAGATACGTTCAATGGGCATTGTAATGTGGCAGGACAGAGTGTGGACGTTGGCGACTAATAAACTGGATTTAAGATGGCTCTTCCACGTCCATTAGCTCTGTGGACTCCTAGATAGTTCACAATAAACCTCAGCATCCTTACCTATAAAATAGACAATAGGAACATCTACTACATAAGATTCTTGTGAATATAACATGAGCTAGTATATACAAAATTCCTTATCACACTATTTTGTTGGTAGTATTCTGTTTTTTGTTTGTTTGTTTTGAGATGGAGTCTCCCTCTGTCGCCCAGGCTGGAGTACAGTGCCATGATCTTGGCTCACTGCAACCTCTGTCTCCCAGGTTCAAGCAATTCTCTGCCTCAGCCTCCCAAGTAGCTGGAATTACAGGTGTCTGCCACCACACCCAGCTAATATTTGTATTTTTAGTAGAGACGGAGTTTCACCATCTTGGCCAGGCTGGTCTTGAACTCCTGACCTTGTGATCCACCTGCCTCAACCTCTCAAAGTGCTGGGATTACAGGCGTGAGCCACCATTCCCGGCCGGTAGTATTCTTAAGAATGTTTTGTCTACCCTCTCCATTAATAGGATATATTTATGACTTTTACAAGTAAACGTCGTATTTGTTTGGCACTTGCAATAGTGGTGATTAGTTCGACAAATAGCACAATTATTCTGCTTCAGTAGGATGTAACCTCATATCTTAACCAAAATATAATGTGGCTAGCAATTTTACAATGTTCAAAATACTTCAGAAATCCACAATGTGCAGTTCAACATAATAATTTCTCATTTTCTCCAATCAGCATCCCAGGAGATCTAGTTATTCATGCAGATCAACACGTCCATGATTTAAGCCGTGAGCTTTTAGGAACTTCACTGGCCCAAAGCTAATAGGTGAAAAGATATATACCTAACATTTTAAGGGATTTTCAACTCTTGATGTCTTATTTTGCAAAAGAGCTTTGCAGCAATAATTTATCAGGCAGCCTCTCTGTCCACATTGGAGTATTCTCTAGAATGATTCTTATGTTTATTTTACATTTCCCTTCCCTGCAAGAAGACAACTCCAGGTAAGGAGAATTGTGAGTTAATAAGATGCATGCCACTGATAGCAACAGTCTATTTGATGTCTATTTCCAAAAGAAAAATGCAAAGTGGAGTGTGTAATCCCTTAACGTAAGATACCTCCATGAATCCCAATGCCTCCACGTGAATCCTGATGCCAGAGCTGCAAGGAGCATACACTGTCAGGGTACAGAAAATGAAGACCTCTCTGCTTGAAAGTTTAAATGCCCTGCTCAGCAGGAAGTCTAGAAAGATTTGTTCAACTGAAATGAGCTTATAATCAGGCTTTCATCCAAAGATAAGGAAAGACAACATCCAGTAGTTTTATGATGCACTCTTACCAGGAAAACACAAATAGTTTTGTCCATGTTGTGCAGCGTTGACTCCTGTATAGCATATTTCAAACTGCAATCATGAAAATGTTCCATTTCCGACTAAGAAGAAAAAGTCACCCATGAAACTTGACACCGTACCTTCATTTTTTTTTTAGCAATGAACAAAAAATACACATTGTTAGTGTCACCCATTCTATTTTTTCATTTTCTTTTTATGATTTAGAGGTGTTCCTAAGACTTGCAATTATTTAAATAAAATTATTGTAGCATTTTTAGGGGTCATTGGTACATTTACTCAGCAAAGTTAGCTGCCTGAAAGACAGATTAACTGCTAATCAGTGCTTAATGAGGGCTTTGCCACGCCATGTTTGAGCACTTGTCAGTATAAGAATATCGATTAGTAAAGCCACCTTTTGGACTTATTGTTGGTAAACTGGGTTGATTTCTGAGGTGGATAAAATGCATGGCTAGATATTCTGTCCACTGTGCTGTTGGCAGGCTGTTGTTTATCACAAGGTTTTAGTGTTCTTAATGAACTGTTAATAAGCTGTCAATTATAGTGTTTATGCAAATTAGGGAAAGAGACATTGAAGGATTGATGTGCCTAGCATTAAAAATGCCTTCTTGATACGTTATAAAGTAAATAATTCCCCTTTTAATAATTGTCCTTAAACATTTGCTCTTCTTTGCCACTGAAGCATTCCCACGTTGGGCACCCTGGAAAACAATAGTCCAGGACTTCTTTAAGCATTATACTGAGAAAACAAGACACATCTATCTCTAGGATGTACTTTGCTTTATGTTAGCAATTCTGGAATCATTTTCATTCACCCTCGGCCGTAAGTGAAGTTCAATATCAAGTGTTCTGAAATTCATGGGTAGCTATTCTATGATTCTCATGTGGGGCATCCATTTTTGCCTTTCTTCCCACTGGAGACCATCGACCATGGCGAAGCAACCTCCTCAACCCCTTAAATGTCCTGCGCTAATGGTAGCTGTCCCAAGTCCCATGTGCTTTGTAGTGCCTCAGATTATCTCTTTAGTACAAATCCTTTGTGTGGTTATAAATTGTCAACTGAAACTATTTCTTTTAAAAATCTGCTTCTCTGCCTCTGTCCCGGCAGAAATACCTGTCTTTGGCCAGAAAATCCATTAATTTTCTATTCTGGGTTTTTGTTTTTTTATTTCATATGCCCTTGAATGTGTTGACCTAACATGCCCCACCTGACGTCCTTCAAGGACCTATACAATTGTCTTGTTCTCTCAGTCATTCTTCCGGCCCCGTTTACCCAGGCAGAATAAATCAGTTCCTTTCTGCAGCAGCCCCAGAGTACTTTAAATGAGTTAGATATATTCCAGCACCCCCCACCCCTATTCTGCACACACACACATTCAGAAATTGTGAGCTCTTTCAGGGCTTGGCCTGCTATTTATTCATCTTCAGAAATCATGTCATTCAATGTTAGAAAATAGCTACCTCAAGACACTCTGGAAGAAATTCTGCTCAGATTTCCATTTTATAATAAAACTAAGGTTATTAAATGGTTCCCAATATTTAAAAGGATAATAATTTTGCCGCAATCTCGTCACTTTTATTTTTAATTGTTGTGATCAGAATTCTATCCAGATAGTTATTATGGGAGAACAATTCCTGAAGAATGCTTAACCTCTCAATACAATTAAAGTAGACATCTTTTAAAGGCTCTTAATATTCCCCCCAGAAATGTAAAATTACATCTTGTTTTGTATTGTGGAAGTCATGTTTTGATTATATGAAATTGGTATTTTACGTGAAAAAAAAAATCTTCTGTTCAGCTTGGAGCATGAAGGTTTGTGCAGTTGTTAGCACATTACTTATTCCAAAATCATTGAAAATATTATTCTTGCAGGTTTGGGGTTTTTTCTAACCTCATTCGCTCAGCTCTGGGAGTTATAATGTTTCATAAAGGAAGTATCATAATCTACAGCAAAAATCATGCATCCATATCAGTTGAAATGATGGATTAAGCTGTTTTATTATAAGTATATCACAAATGCAATAAATATTTGCCAATGAAATGCAGTTATCATAAGGTTTTGCACAGTGCAATTTCATGTTAATGTCCAAGTAGAATATAGATGGCTTTATATGTTTGGTTATAGTACCTGCTTTGCAGTTTGAAAAATTTATTTGTAAGTGTTGAAAATATAAATATGAGAGTTCAAAGTATCTATGAGTTATTTCTAAATACCACTTAACTCCTCCCAAGGCAGATGAGGATAGTATAAAACTGCAATTCTCGTGACTGATAAATCAAATGAAATAATCCAATAAACTGGAAGAAAAATTGTGAATTGGTCTTCTGAGAGGCAAGAGAGCATGCTGGTAAGAGCTTGGACTCCGAGGTCAACAAGTATCTTGACCTTCTGGCACCTTCGTTTGTAAGTGTGGAGATAACACCCAGCTCCTAGGATGGCCTTGGAGATTAAATGAGTTTGGGATAACAAATAGCACTCAGTGAGGGCTTACTATGTGCCAGGTACTATCCAAATGCAAATTTCAATTTCTAAATTTTAATCTCTCTCTTTAATCAAACATACAGCTTTTGATATTTGATATGCATTCTTGTATTTTCCTCTTAGGTGCTTTTCAGTTATCTTCCTGAGAATTTGTGCATTTTATGTAGAAATAAGATAAAATACACAAGATATAATATCCTACTGGTCCTTAATTCCACAGCTTAATAACTGTATGAACATGGGAAATTACTTAATCTCTCTGCGTCTCAGTTTCTTCAACTATAAAATAACAATGCTGCTGCTGCTGCTGCTGCTGATGATGATGATGATGGTGAAGATGATGACACCTATTTCATGGGGCTGTTGTGAAAATTGAGATGATCCCTGTTAAGTATTTAGCAGAGTGCCTGACAGTGAGTGCTCAATCACTTATTATTATTGCTGGTAATACTGTCGTTAGCATTACTTTTGCTGTTATTAATGTAGTGTGATTTATTTTTAAATTAGGGTCAATTGAAGGAACTGGGAATATTTTGTGAGTAAGGGTTTTTATGTATATCACATTCGTTCTTCTCATAACCTGCCACCCTCCTCATTTTTGTTACTGGGAATGAAATCGACTTCAAAATAAACCTAAGAACCCGGACTCCCTTGGATCTGACACTGACCCCAGACGCCAAGCCACAGAGGAGTATGCTGCAGTCATTCTCTCTTTGAAATTCTAATTAAAAATACATTTTAAAAGTTTTTTAAATGCATGTTTTTCTTGAATTCTGATATGAGCCATGCAATATAAAATGGCACTGTAACATCTCTTCAAATATGCGCACTTCTATTCACAATAGTATTTTAAAAAGTAATCTTACAAAAGTTTTATTTAAAAATACCTTGCCAGGTGTGGTAGTGCATGTCTGTAGTCCCAGCTGTTCAGGAGGCTACCCCTCTTGGGTTTGTTTTCTCTAAAATAAACCTGTCCTTAATTGTCAAGACACCGTTCATGTTTCTTTCCTCTTTCTTTAATTCTTACAGGGGTGGGAAGATTGCTTGAGCCCAAGTGTTTGAGACCAACCTGGGCAACATAGTGACACCTTGCCTTTACAAAAAAAAAAAAAAAAAAAATTCTAGATTTAAGCATTTTGGTAATGCTTCCATTTCACTGCTTCTTTCTTAACTGTTTTGGTGTGATTGCGATCCATTTTGTAGTTCACTAATTTGGTATTTAACTGAACTGATCTGTCAGATCTATCAAAACATGGGCTGTTGATACAATTTGAGCTATTTCTTCATCGTACCTGTGTTTACTTTGAGAGTTTATCAGCGAATGTTTATCAGGAATTTGGAAGCCTAGCAGCAAGGTGAATTCTAGAAGAAAAAAAAATCAACAACATATGCTCTACATTTTTTTCAATACTAAATTGATCATCTCAAACATTATTTTCACTACAAAAACCTCCATGAGTCACATAAATAGCTTGTCCTTTCAAGATCATAGAATAAAAACTACAAGGACAGATGTGCTCTAGATGTCATTTCCCAGCTGGGGCACTGTGAGCAACATGGCAGGGGTGAAAGAACAACATGTGGTCAGGATGCCTTCGTGTGTTCAGTTTTTATTTTCAAAGAAAAAGTAAAAAAAAGGATGAAAGAAGTGGGGAAGGAAGAGAGGGAGGGAGAAAGAAAGAGAAAGAAAAAGAGAAAGACAAAACAACCAAAAGAAACAGAAAGGCCGGGCGCGGTGGCTCACGGCTGTAATACCAACACTTTGGGAGGCCAAGGTCGTGGATCACCTGAGGTTGGGGGTTCGAGATAAGCCTGGCCAACAGGGTGAAACCCCATCTCTACTAATGATACAAAAATTAGCTGGGCGTGGTGGTGGGCACCTGTAATCCCAGCTACTTGGGAGGCTGAGGCAGCAGAATTGCTTGAACCCAGGAGGTGGATAGTCCAGTGAGCCGAGATCACACCACTGCACTCTGGCCTGGGTGACAAGAGTGAAACATCTCAGGAAAAAAAGAAAGGAAGGAAGGGAAGGAAGGGAAGCAAGGGGAGGAAGAGAAGGAAGGGAAGGAAGGGAGGGAGGGAAGGATGGGAAGGAAGGGAAGGACGGGAAGGAAGGGAAGGAAGGAAGGACGGGAAGGAAGGGAAGGAAGGGACGGGAGGGAAGGAAGGGAAGGAAGAAAGGACGGAAAGGAAGGGAAGGAAGGGACGGGAGGGAAGGAAGGGAAGGAAGGAAGGACGGGAAGGAAGGGAAGGAAGGGACGGGAGGGAAGGAAGGGAAGGAAGAAAGGACGGAAAGGAAGGGAAGGAAGGGAAGGAAGGAAGGACGGGAAGGAAGGGAAGGAAGGGAAGGAAGGAAGGACGGAAAGGAAGGGAAGGAAGGGACGGGAGGGAAGGAAGGGAAGAAGGAAGGACGGAAAGGAAGGGAAGGAAGGGAAGGAAGGAAGGACGGAAAGGAAGGGAAGGAAGGGAAGGAAGGAAGGACGGGAAGGAAGGGAAGGAAGGAAGGAAGGAAAGAAAGAAAAAGAGAAAGAAGCCAACAATAATAATTCCTGGTTTCAGTATCTGGTATTCTAGTGTATTTTTCCATTCAGATTCACTAATTCAGAATTTTCTCTATTCCCTCCTTTTTTTGTCTGTTACTATTAATTTATGCAAGTCTTTTACTATCTCAATTTAAAATGAGTATTTTCTTTCTATAAAAGGCAAAATGCTATAGATACAGAGATCATGCTGTCTCCTCAATAGATATATGAGTTTTTTAAAAAATTAATTACTATTATGGCTACATTGAAATGATTAGTAGGAAATGAATCTAAATTGCTTCTAAAACAATAAAGTTTAAGTGCCTCAGTAACCCTATCCTTTGAATAAATACAACCAAATTTTAGTTAGGTAAATTTTGTTTTGCAAACTTCTACAGGTTATTGAAATTCTTAAAGACTGCTATTGTGTTTTTTTAAAAATAACATTTTGGTCTTCAAATACGTTACTAATCAGCAGCATTCATTTATGGTATACCTAAAACATGCTAGTAAAACTGTAAGCTTCTTTCTTCCTTTTTTATTTTATATATGCTCATTCAAATTTGACTACTTCAAAGTTTTGAAATTGAGAAAAAAGAATTTGAAATTTCACATGTGCCTTTGCAAAAAGTAAAATGATTAATTTGCCTGCAATGCTTTTACAGTGTGTCATACTGAAGGCTTGAAGGATGTATTTGATCTTATCTTAAAATTGAGTGGCCTTGTTTTAGTATATAACTCTGAACAATGAAAAAAAAGAGCATTTTCTGTATCCCAGGTTGCTTTTATAAATGATATCCACCTTCAATAATTGTTCAATCGAGGCCGAGCTCAGTGCATAGAGACAAGAATGTATTTCTTCTCTTTCTTAACAGTGGTCAGGGCCTTACACAAGGATGTGTTCATGTTTTGTTCCTTTGGGCTTCTTGAGGCTCATGGTAGTTCACTGAGAACATGTTCCATCACTATTAAAAATAATGTCCTTCTTCATCAGTAACATCCTAATGTCCTTTAAGTGTTAAACCCATCCCTTTCTGCATTCCCAGAAAGTATTTTTATACACGTGTGTTTTTTTCTCTCTCCTGGCAAATCTATAAATGGAATTTTTGAATGGAATCCTATGATATAAATATCTTTTAAAGCTTTCTCATAGTTTTACCTGCTTTGCAATGAGCCATTTTCTCTTCAAAATCAATGCCTCTCATTAAGACAACTTCTGGCAGGGATGAGGATCTAGCATCAGTTTATAGAAAAGTGGTCATGATTTTGCCTCTGGGTTTGTTTTAATTGTTCCTCTCCATGCAGCAAGCTCTGTGGTTTGAGTAGCAGAGAATTCATTTGTAAGCTTGCCTCCTATGTTTCTCAAAAGATTGTTGTGAGGACTAAATTAATCCATCCAAAATTACTTACTGCACATCTCCTCTGTGCCAGGCCCTGCTACAGGTGCTGCAGACATCCGTGTAAACAAGCCAGTCCCTGTGTTCATGGAATGTAATTTGGAAGTAGGGGGAGCCTGAAAATGAACAAGACAAAAGCACAAGTGAGGACTGAAGAATAGAAAATAAAATATAACTTGTGGGGAGAGCCGTGGAGGTCATCAGGAAGGTCAGGGAAATTCTCTTTCTCTCTCTCTCTCTCTTTTTTTTTTTTTTTTTTTTTTGACTTAGTCTCACTCTGCCCAGGCTGGAGTGCAGTGAAGCGACCGCGGCTCAGTGCAACCTCCGCCTCCCAGGTTCAAGCGATTCTCCTGCCTCAGCCTCCTGAGTAGCTGGGATTACAGGTGTCCACCACCATGTCCGGCTAATTTTTATATTTTTAGTACAGACAGGGTTTCACCATGTTGGCCAGGCTGGTCTCAAACTCCTGACCTCAGGTGATCCACCCTCCTTGGCCTCCCAAAGTGCTGGGATTACAGGAGGAAACTCTCTTAAAATACATCATGTAAGCTGAGAGGAGACTTACAAAAAGGAGATAGCCACAAGGAAACCTGGGAGAAGATAGCATGGCCAAATGTCCTGAGAAGAATGAATGTGGAGTGCTGGTAGAAGGAAGGGAATGAGTGGCTGAGGTGGAGGGCAGAAAAGATTAGACTGGTGGGGAGAGTACAGGGGCAAAATCATCTAAGGCTGTGATCTCTAAGGAGTTTTGATTTTATTTTAAGTGGCAGAGAAACCAACGGAGAGGTTTGTCTGGAAGGGAATAATGTGATATACTCTACATTAAAAAATAATAATTATGTATGTAAAAATCTACCAAGATTGAATCCTGACTCTGCCACTTACTTCCCTAAGCCTCAGTTTTGTTATCTGTAAAATGGCCATCACGATCAATCAAACTCGTACGGTAGAGATTAAATAAAATAATCAACGTAATGTGCTTTGTCCACCATAAGTATTCAACAGAAGGAGGTGTTCATTTAGGTTTTTCTTAGAAGTCCCCTTGGTTCTCCAGCCTGGGCCGTTCATTAGTTTATTTTGTGCTCTCCTCCTGTCCCTTAATATCTGAAATTTTTGACAATTTTCTCTGAGATTCCTGGCATTTGGGCTTCCGGAGATGGCGGGGGGTCTGGTTTGCTGTCTGTTAATTTTAGCTATTCTCCGCTGGAAGTGCCATCACAACTAGAATAACCAGAGAGAATGGGAGGTGGTGCAGCCTATTAAGTGGCCCCATGGGGCTGCCCTAGCAGCAAAAATCAAAACAAACAAACAGAATCCCAAAACAGGTTTGGGCTTTAGGGGTTTTGAAAAATGGACATTTTTCCCATTAATAACATATCCGTTAAACTCTACTGTGACAGCTCTCACAAAGTTTCTTCTAATAACAACATTTCTAATCCAAAATCATTCATTCTGCCTACAAATGTCAGAGCCAAACAATACCTAGCAGATAATTTGGTCCACAGTTTTCAAGAATACAGGGAGTAGAAAATAGAAATAGGTAATCTACTGCTATGTCATATTTCCAATGTTTCTATGCAAGCCAATCACTTTATGGAGCCTGAAAAATTCAAGAATTTTAATGATTCGAAATATCTAGTTGAATGGCTGGTAATCTTCTCTCTTATTTGGGGAATCCCAAAGCTAAAGTTGTACATAAAGAAAGAATTTAAACCTTTGAATATAGAACAAATGATCTACGAATCTTTATTGTTAGCCTAGCCATAATATTACTATGAAATTTTCATAGTGAGGGCATAACATTTAGATTTTAGGTCATTAAGACAATTATCAATTTCTTTTTATCTGAACCATTACATATGGAAGAAAATGATGTACCTTATTTCATTGCTTGGTTAATATCAGCCTGTGAAAGAGAAAGATATTTTCAGAAGAGATACAAAATGACTTAGGTTAGTTCCCCCATATTTAGGTTGATAGCAAAGAAGGCAGGAAAAATATTTTTAGAATGTTAAAGCTGGGACAAAAGTGTATCGCAAGTAATTTGGGTATCAAGGGGAAAAACATTAAAAATCTTTGATAGAAAGTGAAGAAAATTATTTTAAAAATGAGAGTACTTCTTAACAACCAAGATTCAGGAAAAGTTTGAATGAAAGGAAATTTAAGACAGTTGTTTTGCATTACATTATTATATCTCTCCTTTCTCTTTGCCTAGCTAATGTTGTCTAAAAAATAGATTGCATTCAATCTTGAAATATATATGTATACTTCCCTATCTACATCTATCTATATACACAACAACAGACATTTATCGATTTATATATCCATGTACATATTAATCATAACTTAGGAATGACAAGATAAACTTGTTTTTCCTACCACCCAGTGTTTTTTAAAAAGGCGTTCTCTGTTAATACAGAATAACTGCAAATAATATTTTCATGACTATGTCATATGAATAAAATAGGAATTTTAATCATTTATGTATTTACAGTGAGAATCATTATGAATTTATGATTTTACATTTAGCTCATGATTCCAAGGTGTGATATATATATATACATATATATATACATATATATGTATATATATATGTATATATATATATATATGGAAGTTCAATGCTTTCTGTAAACTGGAATTTTAAGTGTATATCTACACTTGAGAAAAATAATGGTCAAGATAAGAGAAAAATATATGGAAGTTAAATTCTAATGCAGTAAAAACCCCCCTGGAAACAAACTGTTACCCCTGGTCAATTACTCACTTGCCACCATAGATTTTTAGGAGAGATTCGCAATATGGGAAAGCACAGTGAGTGGTTTACCTCCATAAAACAGCTCATCATCAACGTGAACTCGTATTTAAATCTGAATTACCAGCATCTGAATTTTTCAGCATGAGGCAGCAAAAGATTGAAAAGCAGTGTTTTCTGATATTGCTCTAAATTATGATTTCCATAGATATAACCTTTATCATTTCTTCTCCATACCGGAAAAATAAAAACCGGTTAAGGTAACCCCACTGCATTCTTTTCTTCTGCTTGTTGTACACTTCACAGTCACAGAGTGAATCAGCTTTGCTAAACGCATTCATTAGTGCCCAATTTGTTTCTCTTCATCTCTTTGAAGAAATCTTGCAAGCTGTTGGAACGCTTATTTTATTTTGATTCCACAGTGGAAAATTGTATTCACATAAGTAAGCATATACCAAACAGCAATAAATCATTATTTCTCAGATGACCAATATCAGCAGGAATCTCATATACTTCTCTGCTGGAGTTGATTTCCAAATTCATTGAATAATTATTGGTGCTGCTTTTCATAAGTGAAAAACATTTTTTCCTTTCTATTCCAGTTAACTTTTAAATGCTACCTTTCTCCCTCATTTCCACCGCACATCTGAGAATTATTTGTAAAGGAGGGAAAAAGTCAAACTTTGTATTCAGCAAATGTCAAGGTGGTTAGATGGAATATAACCCTTGACAACTGCCCCACCAGCCCTGAAATTTAGACGTTCATAGTATGTACTTTGGTCAAAGATTGAATATCATGTTAGACTGTTGATAAATGAAATAAATACACGTTATTGCTTTAATGTTTTAAGGAAAATCTGAGAATTTATTAGAGTGCTTTAAAATGCAACATTTAGACTAGTAAATTTCTGTTTTCTTTTGCTCTGCCAAAAGACAACAATTTATTGTTGTTTCACTTCCCAAAGTATTAATTGGATTTTGGTAATAAATATTGAATTTTTTTTTTTAGTAACAGACACATGCATTTCTGTATTTTTTCCTTAACAAAGTTTATTAACAGCAGGTAATCTGTATACTTTGACCTGAAAATGAATTTATAAAATATCTGTTGGTGTCAAGTCCATTTTAATACAGATTAAATATCGTGGCCATGTTCTACAAAGTGTGAGTTCTCTACTCAGTATATTTTTAATGGCTTCTGTACACACTGTATTATGTTAGGTGTTGTTATAAGGAAACAACCAAAAAAGATTTTAAAATTAATTTCAGAACTTAGACTTGAGAAGGGTAACAGTATCAGGTGGAGATTAAGACTAATATGTAGATTCTTTCTGTTTATGCTGTTACTCTTTCAAAGATTATTTTCCCCTCTTATGCTTTTTATTGCTGTTCTTGATTTTTTTGAGCTACTAATTGTTAGCTAAGTTAAAGCAATTTAAAGGATATATATTTCTAAATTGGTTTTTTTCTTTGAGTTAAAACCTGAACATAGCTAATACTTGAGCATAAAGTAATGTGACATTTGTACTATTGGTATCGTCCTATCAAGTATATAGTCTTTCTATTAATCTCCACATTGATCTTTTCCTCCTAAAGTGAAAATATGGTATAAATATTTACATAATTCAAAAAATAATGATAAACTCTAAGAAACATTTTCGTGTAAAACATCATTGTTCACATTATGATCTTATCTTTTTATGAGGAAAGCCTCCTAATCTTTAAATTGATATATTTACAAAAAGCACAATATAGTTCAGATCTTTGAACCATCCAGGGTAAGTCAATATGATATTTTTAATAAAACGGTATAGATGTAACTACAAAATTATCAATGTAACATATCTTTGTATTATCTTGTGTTGAGATCCTTTAGCTTCTACAAAAAAATTTAATATGAAAATGAGTTTTAATTAGCATAATAAACAGCTTACATTTCAGATATCCTACTACATCTTAATATAACTCTTATTAAATAAGTATATATTGGAATCATATTAATTCATTCAGATAATTAGGGCTGGGCGCAGTGGCTCACGCCTGTAATACCAGCACTTTGGGAGGCCGAGATGGGCAAATCATGAGGTCAGGAGTTCGAGACCAGCCTGGCCAACATGGAGAAACTCCATCTCTACTAAAAATACAAAAAATTAGCTGGATATGGTGGCAGGTGCCCGTACTACTCAGGAGGCTGAGGTAGGAGAATCGATTGAACCCGGGAGGCAGAGGTTGCAGTGAGCTGAGATGTGCTGCTGCGCTCCAGCCTGGGCAACAGTGAAAGACTCTATCTCAAAAAAAAAAAAAAAAAAAAAAAAAAGACAAATAATTTAATAATATAGGAAAACATTTTTAAACTAGACAAGACAAAATTTTTAATGTTTATTCTCAAAATACTCAACCAAATTGTTTTCAAAATAAGTATTTTATATTTCAGATGTAATCTCAAAAAATGAATTTTTATTCAATTATGGAGCTTCTGAACTTCATACATTCATTTAAAAATCATTAAAAATGATTAAGAAGTCCACAACACAATACTCTGTCTTGTCTGAATTTTATGTGGATTTAGTATAATGAAAACTTTAGAAGTATATGACAGGACATTAAATTCATGACTCCATATTAATAAAGTAGCTAAGGCTTAAAATATTAGAATATACAGCCATAATATATTATTATTTATGGACAGCATCTATTCTCATGCAAAGAAAATACACACGTAGTTCAAATTCTGTGAGTTTCTTTGACCTTATGGAAAAGAAGAAAATTATAGATTCAGATGTAGATTAGTTATTGAGTTGAATATGTCAAATTACCCAACTACCTTCTTGTTCAGAAATTAACAAAATAGCAGATAGAACCACTTGACTGGAGATAACTTATCTAGTAGTTGATGCCAACGTAGTGGCAATATATATAGCATTCCAATCTAGATTTTCTATACCTCATTTATGGATCACCTGTTTATTTTCTTAAGCAATTCTCCAATAAGCAGAGTCATTTTCTATTGTACATCTTATCAGTAGTTTCATGGGGGGGAAAGGAATAATGTAATCAGAGAGATCTGGAGAATACTGTGTAGTCAATGCCTTAGATACTGATATGATTTAGCTGTGTCCCCACCCAAGTCTCATCTTGAACTGTAACTCCCACAATTCCCACATGTTGTAGGAGGAACCTGGTGGGATGTGTTTGAATTATGGGGGCAAGTCTTTCCTACGCTGTTATCGTGATATTGAATGAGTCTCACAAGATCTGATGGTTTAACAAGGAGAAACCCGTTTTGCTTGACTCTCATTCTCTCTATTGCCTGCTGCGATGTAAGATGTGCCTTTCACCTTCTGCCATGATTGTGAGGGCTCCCCAGCAGTGTGGAACTGTGAATCTAATTAAACCTCTTTCTTTTGTAAATTACCCACTCTGGGGGTATGTTTTTATCAGCAGCATGAAAATGAACTAATACAGAAAATTGGTACCAGTAGAGTGGGGAGCTGCTGAAAAGATACCTGAAAATATGGAAGCAACTTTGGAACTGGGTAACAGGCAGAGGCTGGAACAGTTTGGAGGGTTCAGAAGAAGATAAAAAAATGTGGGAAAGTTTGGGACTCCCTAGAGACTTGTTGAATGGCTTTGACCAAAATGCTGATAATGATATGGACAATAAAATCCAGGCTGAGGTGGTCTCAGATGGGGATGAGGAACTTGTTGGGAAGTGGAGCAAAGGTGACTCTTGTTATATTTCAGCAAAGAGATTAGCAGCATTTTGCCCCTGCCCTAGAGATCTGTGGAACTTTGAACTTGAGAGAGATGAGTCAGGATACCTGGTAGAAGAAATTTCTTTTTCTTTTTTTTTCTTTTTTTTTTTTTTTTTTTTGAGACAGAGTTTTGCTGTGTCTCCCAGGCTGGAGTGCAGTGGCACCATCTTGGCTCACTGTAACCTCTGCCTGCCTGGGTTCAAGCGATTCTCCTGCCTCAGCCTCCCGAGTAGCTGGGGTTACAGTTGCCCACCACCACACCCGGCTAATTTTTGTATTTTTAGTAGAGACAGGGTTTCACCGTGTTGGCCAGGCTGGTCTTGCCTCAGCCTCCTGAGTAGCTGGGATTACAGGTGCCTACCACCACACCCAGCTAATTTTTGTATTTTTAGTAGAGACAGGATTTTCCCACGTTGGCCAGGCTGGTCTCGAACTCCTGACCTCAAGTGTTCCCCCCACCTCAGCCTCCCAAAATTCTGGGATTACAGGTGTGAACCACTGGCCAGAAGAAATTTCTAAGCAGCAAAGCATTCAAGAGGTAATTTGGGTGCTGTTAAAGGTATTCAGTTTCAAAAGGGAGACAGCAAAAAAGTTTGGAAAATTTGCAGCCTAATAATGCGATAGAAAAGAAAATCTCATTTTCTGAGAAGAAATTCAAGCTGGCTGCTGAAATTTGTATAAGTAACGAGGAGCCTAATGTTAATCTCCAAGGCAACGGGGAAAGTGTCTCCAGGGCATGTCAGAGGTCTTCAAAGCAGCCTGTCCCATCACAGACCCAGAGGACTAGGAGAAAATGGTTTCATGGACTGGGCCCAGGGTTCCCGTGCTGTGTGTAGTCTAGGGACTTGGTGCCCTGTGTCCCACCCACTGCAGCCATGACTAAAAGGGGCCAAGGTGCATACAGCTCGGGCTCTTCCTTCGGAGGGTGAAAGCCTTAAGCCTTGGCATCTTCCACGTGGTGTTGAGCCTGCAGGTGCACAGAAGTCAAGAATTGAGGTTTGGGAACCTCCGCCTACATTTCAGAAGATGTATGGAAATGCCTGGATGCCTAGGGAAAAGTTTGCTGCAGGGGCGAGCCCTCACGGAGAACCTCTGCTAGGGCAGTGTAGAAGGGATATATGGGGTTGGAGCCCCCTCACAGAGTCCCTACTGGGGCACCGCCTAGTGCAGCTGTGAGAAGAGGGCCACCATCCTCCAGACCCCAGAATGGTAGATCCACCGACAGCTTGTACTGTGTGCCTGGAAAAGCCAGACACTCAACACCAGCCCGTGAGAGCAGCCAGGAGGGGGGCTATACCCTACAAAGCCACAGGGGTGGAGCTGCCCAAGACCATGGGAACCCACCTCTTGCATCAGCATGACCTGGATGCGAGACTTGGAATCAAAGGAGATCATTTTGGAGCTTTAAGATTTGACTGCCCTGCCAGATTTCGGACTTGCATAAGGCCCGTAGCCCCTTGGTTTTGGCCAATGTCTTCCATTTGGAATGGCTGTATTTATCGAATGCCTGTACCCCCATTGTATCTAAGAAGTAACTAACTTGCTTTTGATTTTACATGCTCATAGGCAGAAGGGACTTGCCTCATCTCAGATGAGACTTTGGACTTGTGGACTTTTGAGTTAATGCTGAAATGAGTTAAGATTTTGGGGGACTGTTGGGAAGACATGATTGGTTTTGGAATGTGAGGACATGAAATTTGGGAGTGGCCAGGGGCTGAAGATATGGTTTGGCTGTGTCCCCACCCAAATCTCATATGGAATTGTAACTCCCACAATTCCCCCATGTCATAGGTAGAACCCGGTGGGAGGTCATTGAATTACGGCTGCGGGTCTTTCCTGCCCTGTTCTTGTGATAGTGAATGAGTCTCACGAGATCTGATGATTTGAAAAGGACAAACCCATTTCTCTTGATTCTCATTCTCTCTTGCCTGCTGTGATGTAAGACATGCCTTTCACCTTCAGCCATGATTGTGAGGCCTCCGCAGCCACGTGGAACTGGGAGTCGAATTAAACCTCTTTCTTTTGTAAATTACCTAATCTTGGATATCGTTATTAGCAGCATGAAAACCAACTAATACAGATACATTGAAGTTCTCAGAGTTCCAACAGAGAACACATCTCTTTAACACAGTGTCTCCCAAAATATAATTTAATAATCATTACTTATTAATAATCCACAGAATAATGCAGTGTTTGAGATTCCTCCATATAAAATATAGTCTACTATGAACTATCTGATAATCCAGGTTAATTTGTAATCTGCTTTCAATCCATCTTTCCGACTTTAGTTTCACCAGGAAGTCTATACTCCATCCAAAATGAACTATGTACTTTTTTCCGCAAGGATCCAAAAAGTGTTCCTCTGATGTGCCTTTTTTTGCTTATGTTTTCTTCCTCTTTATGGAATGCCTATCGCCTCTCCCTTTTTACTTTTCCATGTTCAAAACCAAAAGTGCATGTAGGCACTTCACAGACATATACACAAAACAGTTTACTTACAAAATGGTGTTCTTCTAGGTGTTCAGCTTTGCAATCAACATACTAAATGGAGCTTGAACAGGCTGGAGTGCAGTGGCGCCATCTCGGCTCACTGCAAGCTCTGCCTCCTGAGTTCACGGTATTCTCCTGCCTCAGCCTCCCAAGTAGCTGGGACTACAGGTGACTGCCACCACGCCTGGCTAATTTTTTTCTTTGTATTTTTTAGTAGAGACGGGGTTTCACGCTGTTAGCCAGGATGGTCTCGATCTCCTGACCTCGTGATTCGTCCGCCTTGGCCTCCCAAAGTGCTGGGATTATAGGCATGAGCCACCGCATCTGGCCTGAACAAACATTTTTAATGGTGTCCGTGCAAAGTGTATCTAAGTAGTAATCATGTCAGGTACTGCTATGAGGAAAACAGGTAAGCGAAGTTTTTTGTTTGATAGTTTGCTTTTTGAGACGGACCTTCGCTCTTGTCACCCAGACTGGAGTGCAATGGCACGATCTCAGCTCACTGCAACCTCCGCCTCCGGAGTTCAAGCACTTCTCCTGCCTCAGCCTCCCGAGTAGCTGGGATGACAGGCGCCCACCACCACGCTCGGCTAGTTTTTTGTATTTTTAGTAGAAACGCGTTTCACTATGTTAGCCAGGCTAGTCTCAAACTCCTGACCTCAGGTGATCCACCCGCCTCAGCCTCTCAAAGTGCTGGGATTACAGGCATGAGCCGCCGCACCGGGCCGCCAAGTTTTTACACATATGCCATGTGAGAGAGTTGGTATTGAGTTTTTCAAAGGAGGCAGAGGTGATCAGGTTAGTTTTAATGGAGAGGGTAGGGCCTACATCATATCTTGATGAAATAATGTAGGCTGATAACTTTTTGCATATATGATTAGAAGCTTTAAAGTCATTGGACACTGCTCTGGATGGGCAGACTTGGAAAGGAGATGGTTTGCTCTGCAGAGATGCTCAACCTTTTTTGGCTTAGATACATGAATGGCGGGTTGCTTCCTAATACGTGATTTGATGATTGAACAACTGTTAAGGGCACCAAATTCAGTGGTGTAAACATCTCAAATCGAATCCTGCCTTTGCTCATTGTTACTTAACCTTCCTAGGCTAGTGTCTTCCTCTGACAACTAGAATAACAATGCCAATATCTTAAAGTCAAAGCATGAATTAATAATACACTGCATGTATTCATGCATGGACCCTAGGATATATGCAGTGTATTATTAATTCATGCATGAATATAATACACTGCATATAATAATAATGAATTAACATGCACGAATAATACAATGCACATAATAATACACTTTACATAATAGATTGGCATGTAGTAACTTTCTATATGTGGATACTGTTATTTACATTATCCTTCTTCATCTGTTTGCTACTCCTCCTCTCAGACAAAGCCAGGAAGAATTCTATGGCATTTTATCCATATTCACCACTTTGAAAGTCATGAAGCATTCTTAACAACCTATATATTTTATGAAAAGAATAAAATTATAAATCACTACCGTGGCCACATTTTAAAAGATATAATATTTTATCTATATTGCATTATTGCCAATTCAAATTTAGTTATATAATAAAGGAATTATATAATTTAAACTGTTGACCATCTCTTGTAGCTGGAAAAATGTCCTGTTTTACATGGTAGCCCTAACCTTTCCCAGATTACCACAGTCTGATGTTTTCAGACATAATTCATTTGCAGTAAATAGATTTTATTTTTAAAATGGTCTATCCAGCCCTTTATATGTTATAACCAGATCCAGTTTTAATGAGATAACTATAGATAATAGGGTCATATTTTCATGTCTCTTAAATAATATATTGAGATCATTCTACTTATAACAATGTAATGAAAATAAATGTTTTTTTGTTATTGAATAGAATTTCCATAATACAATGAGTTTCCTGAGATAAAAGCTTCAATGCTAAGTGAAATGTAGAACTAGGACAATGATCCTAATGGAGAGATGGCTAATAGTGTTCATCCAATGTGCCAACTTCAGCCCATTGGAAATGGCTTCCTGGATCCCCGCATTGAAAAGGATTATGAAGCATAATCTAGGCTTGGAAACAAAATGTGTCACATTGGTTATTAATATAGGAGCTGAAAATGAGGGTCTTCTGTACATATCATTTCTGTTCAAATGAAACATATATATAATGTCCATAATAACTAGAGCATGAAAACAAAGAAGAAACTAGAATATTTTCTATTCAATATTGTGGTAAATATTGGACATCCTGAAAATAAAAAGGCACTATGTAATATGAATCCTGGGCAACCTTTGATCCTTCTTTTAATTTTCTTTTCCTTATGTCTTCTATCTTCCCAGTCTCCCCCCATCCTCTCTTCTCTTTCCTTCTTCTGCTCTGTTTCTGGGTCTCTTTCTCTTTCTTTTCTCCTTTTTCCTTCCTTCTTCTAACTTTTTGTGCATCTACAGTGTGCTTGGATACTAAGCCAGGAGCCCAAGTAAGTCAACAGTCTGTGGCAGATTAGAAAGGCAGCGCAGCACTGTTTGGTTGTATCCAATCGGTCATTTGTAATTAGTCCTGATCACATAGAGGACTCCAGCTGGCTTTTCCTGACCAGCATATGGATGTTCCAAACTGCTATTTGCTAACCTCCTCCCCAACTTCCCAGCAAGCTAATGACCCAGGAGGCAGCCATTTCCCACCCCACTCCTAGAGGTAATGGAGAGCAGGCTGCGTTGAAAATGCCTGCATGCTCAGCCATGCATAGAATCTTTCTAGGACTGCTCTCATTCATGGAGAGTTAATTGTCCTTTGGGTTTCCTAGGTATTAATCTAATGTCTACCTGAATATTAACTCTTTTTTCAAGCCCAGCTAAAGGCACCTTTTGCCATAATACTGAGCATATGCTAAAAGTAATCTTTATATACCAGTTTGAAGGGAGGCAAAGTGATATTCCAAGGAAATTTAGCATTAACCACTGGCTGTTACCCATCTCTACATTAGCCAAAGCTGATAATTTTGTATCGTTTGGATTCCCTCAATTCTTCATTTTTCAAGTAAAATTGCTCTATAACGCTATTGATAAATGTTTTTGGAAGTCACTCATCAAATATCTTGCATACTTTATCAGCGTGTGCTTCATTAAATGTAATTTGGGTTTATTCAACTGTTTTTCTGCTTTTCTATCAGCTGAAACCCAGAAATCCTCTTTTATCATATTCAATGGGGAAAATCAATTGCAAAGTAATTTTGCTTCCTATTTCATCTGCAGATAAGTTGCTGTTGCTGATATGTAGTCCTGTGGTATGGTCTTAACCCTTTCTCTTGGATGGAAATGAGAGGAAGAAAAATTACCTCCCGCTTTCATACGTATGTTGATGAAGGGCTGAAGAAGTCTTTCTCTACTTCATAATAATTTTATTTTTCTCCTTTTGGAAATGAGTTTATGTGCTTCTCTTGCGATGATGGGTAAGGCAGTGTAGAATATCTTCTCTTGGAAGGATGTGCAACTATAGAGAAGGGTCACAGCTGGAGCATCCCTTGCTGAGTTTGCCTAGAATCTGGTGTCTTCTTTGCCACCTACTTGGCATGTGTTCTTGGGTAAACCCCCTAAGCTTTCTGGGCCTCGGGTTTTTGCTTTAAAAATTTGTTTATGCCAAAGAAAAGAAGAGAAATTTTAAAAAGAAAAGAAAAGAAATGCATTCTTCTTTTTAAAATTAGGATGTTGTTGAACTATTTTCTCCACCATGAAATCTTGCATTTGAAAACCCAGGCCCCTTCCTCCCCTTTCAATGGGAAATTATTTTAATAAATTTTTATCATTCTTTGACTCTTTTTTCATTCAGTGATATTTTCTGAGATCTGTTCTTATCATGTTGACACATAACTAGATTTGATTACTTTTAACTGTTTCTAGCATTACATTACATAAATGAATATTTTATTCAACCAGTTACTATTCATACTATTATTTGCAATATGTCTTTATTATACAAAATGCTGTGATAAACATTCTTGCACATGTGTGTGAGTGGGCTCTCTAAACCCATAACTAGAAATGGATTCTAGATTATAGAACAGTTTTTAATGTTTATATATATTGCCCAATTCCCTTCTAAGTAGTAATATCACTCAAGTTCCCACCAGCAGCCTAGGAAATGTCCATTTCCCATGATCTTACCAACACTTGATATTGTTGATAGGAAAGTTGAACTTTTCTTGCCAATTTTATCAGAAAAAAAAAATCCTTTTAACTAGTATTTCTTATTTCCATTTTTATTTAAATATATAAAGTGGGGAAATTAACTTTTCTAATAAAAATAATGAAAATTGATTTTAAAAAGAGCTTAAAATTTATTAGAGATTTAAGAGTTCTCTGAAGCATTTTTCAGAAATAGCATTGTTTGCCTGTGTCATGGAATTATTCATTCAGTAGGTTAAAAAATTGCATAATATGGTCAAATTTTCAGTGAGAGCTCTCACTCCTAACATCCTTAGTGCAAGGGGTCTGCTATTTATGTGACCGTTCCTGTTGAATTTATCATGGGTCAGTTATGAAAACACAGGAACCCTGCTCCAATTATTCAGAAGTCATTGACTTGGAGTTGCTCAATTTGCTTATACAGGAAAGAGTTGTTAAACATTATCCTTTCTGGGCTAAAAATGAAGTTGCAGTGTGTACAGAAGTTTGCCAATGCACAAAAGGTCACACTGATTGATGGGCTTTGAAAATTGGCCATTTATGTCAAGAAGGAGATGATGATAAGGTTTATTATTCTGTGAAAGTCTTCCAAGTGGTGAGGACATGTCAATAGCACAACTTTTTCTCCTTTTGCTTTATCCTTTGAAATAATGAGTCATGAAACCAGAGAGTTGGCATGCAGTATGGCCGGCTTCCTCATGCACTTCATAATGCTGATCTAGTAGTGGTTGGCAAATTAGTGCTCGGGTACCAAATCCAGCTTCAAGCCTGTTTTTGTAGATAAAGTTTTATTAGAACAAATTAAGAAAATCCCATTCGTTTATGTATTGTCTATGCTTTCTTGTCCCACAAAGACAGAGTTGAAAAGTTCTAACAGACCATCTGATGCTAAACTTAGAATTTTTACTCTCTGGCCCTTTGCAGAAAAGGGTTACTGATCCCTGGTGGAACCTGCCGTAGACTTCATTTGAAAGTTTGATTGTTAATAGCTATGTGAATTCTGTGCTTTTATTACCTTGAAACATTTAAAGAACTTTTAGTAATTCTCTTAGCAGATGGATTATAATTGTTGGAAGCTTATAATGAAATTCTAAGTTTATAAAATATTTTTGTTTGTCCTAAAAGAGGTGAGGATAATAGTATAAGTACTTCTGAAATATGTTTTGCCTCACAGTAAACATTAATTTAAACCATGTATTTTGTTTCCTATGTTTTCTAATTTATTATTAAAATAATGTCACCTTTAACTTGAAAACAGGGGACTTATTTTACACAGTAACTCTTTAACTTTTAAAATTAAAAAAGACAGTTAAATTATGGTTTATGGATTTTTGTAGTGTTTAATTTAATGGTAAGAAATCTGTCTTATGATTACGCAAAACATCTGTTTTTTTATCCCAGTAAGTTAATTCATTAAGTTCAAAAAGTCTTACTTAAAATAGCCCTAAAATATTAGCATATTCATTGGCACATAAATGTTTAATAATTATATTTTATATTTCCTTAATTTGTAGTGACTATTATTATGGTGGTAGATAAGTAAGATAGTCTCCAGAGATTCTACTGATTCAAGAAAATACTACGAGCCTCATATTTTAATAGCATGTCTTTGTCATAAAGAAGAACCACCATCAAAGTCTTGAGAAACACAATATTAACTTTCTTTTATATTTCTACACTTCCAATATCCAGTAGATATGTCTCAAAGTCATACACATTTGCTTATGCACACATGCACACATACACATACACACACACACACACACACACAATCCTTAATTCTGCCATGACAAAAATTACATTGGTGACTTTCACATGTAACAAATGAACAAGCTGTTAACTAAGAAAATTCAGACATTTGGGGACAACTAAAAGTCAGTATAAAACTAATGAATTGCTGGAAGGCAAATCAGAAATTACTGTTGGCAAATATCTAAAATAAGAACAGAAATAATCACACCTGAAACAAACTCAAGTTGAAAGATGCATCCCTACTTATACTTCACGTAGAGAAAGAACCTATAGAAGTAGGTTACTGATCCTACAATGAATAAAACCAGATTCCTCTTCCAAAACTTGTTGCAATTCACCAATTCATTAGTTTTTACTATATTGTTTGTAGTAATTTTATGCTAGTAAGAGTTTATGCTGAACCAGGAATATGATGGGAATCTGTGTCTTTTCTAATCTGTAGCCTACGTACCTGGCACTGGGTAAAAGCTCAGTAAACTTTTGCAATAAATGAGCATTGGGGCAAGTATTAAAACAGATTATTATACTGAAAATACGATTCTAGGAAACGGCCCCCAAGCAAGTGTGATCAAACTCAGTACAGACACTTTATTATACACATTTTCTCATCACTTACACATCAAAGTGATCACAGGTTCTAAGTCTGTGAGCCTGTTTTCCCATTTGGAAGAATAAGTACAATAATGTTACCTATTTGCTAGGGTTGATTTGAGCATTAAGAGTTATTATATATTAAGCACTTAGAAAAGCCTGGTATGTAGCAAATAGCTCAATATTACCTGCTTGTAATAGTAGTAGCACTTGTAGTGGTAGTAGTATTGATAGTAGTAGTATCCAAAAGCATCTTTTGATATCCCTACATTTCCCCATTTAATGTGTAAATAAATAATACCAATATTAGCAAATGCATTGTCTAGAGCATTCATCATCAGAGATAAGTGTAAGCCAATCATGTTTGTTCATTCCGAAGATACTTACTATATGTCAGGCTTATTATAAACCATATGATTATATATATATATATATATATATATAGAGAGAGAGAGAGAGAGAGAGAGAGAGAGAGAGTGTCAGGTGTTGTCTTGTTGTTGGGCAGGTAGATTGGAGATGAGTAAAGCTCTTGTCCTGCCCTTGATGTGCATGCAGCCCAGGAAGGGAAACATTATGTAAGCAAGTAATTTCAAAGCCGCATAGCAATTTTATCCAATGCAAAGTTATAGACTATGAGAAGTCAGCAGCAAATAACTAAAAATTGTTTTAAATGGAACTTGTACATACATTTTATCCTCCCAATAACCCTACAATATCAGTCTCACCTATGAGAAAGCTAAAAGGTTGAGTCACAACCCTAGAATATCCTATAGGCAGTGTAAAAAAGGCAGGATTGAACCAGGTCTTAAGAGTCCACAGCCTGTGGTTTTCCAGCCCCTCTGCCATTGCTTGTCTGGGAGATGGAAAGTTTTGGCTGGGACATCCCTCACTCAATGGTGTAACTGCCCAAACCGTCCCTGGTCTGGACGCCACAAATGGAGCAGAAAGAGAAAGGGAGAGAAGCCATTTCATTGTAGGACTCTTGACCACAGTCTGTTCAGTCTGGCCTGGTTTCTTCTTGGTGCTTATGTACGTGCTAATTGCCATGGCTAAATGGTGTCATTGTGGATAATAATGCTGTGATGAAATGTTTAATCTCCCCTAGGGTTTGGTGGACATTTTCAGCTGCTGATCTAGTGATAAGCTGGGCAATGGGAGGGAAGCTACTCCACTTCAAAAATTATCTTCTTGTTTCCGGGTAATCACTTGTTGGCAAATATATTAAATAAAGACTGATATTTAAATAAAAGTGCTTTGAACTGGGATAAAATATTTATACACAGTTTGAATTTAGTGTTTTGTCAAAGGTTTTTCTCCTCCTGGACTCTGAAAGGCGAGTGAACACTGAAAGACTGTCTCTCTCATCTCTCACCTATTGATGAGATCCATCCAGACCAGGCTGAAAAATCTTGTGATCAGTGCATGTAAGCATTCCCTCCTGGTCCTCTACCTCTAAAGCCTGGAAGAGATCTACACATACAAATAGTGGCCCAGCACCCCATTTTCTCTGTTTGGCATTGATTAAATCACTCCTTCATCTAGTTTGGAAAGTTTATCATCTAAAGCTGTATCCACACATTTCTTGGGCCAGTTACACTGTTAATTTCTTATACCATTCTAATATGTGACTTGGAACTGATCCGTTGCTGTGTATAAGAAGTCCAGAAAACTACCTTCACTTTGTTTTATTCTTAGTTTGCCTGAACTGTTACCCATAACATTTTATCCCCAACATATTTTGTTATGAATACCTTCAAACATGCAATAAAGTTGTAAAAGTTATGGAGTAAACCTATCAACTTTTTTGGGGGGGGGGATTTGTACCCATGTGATGTCTAACTTTTGTGACTTAGCTAGTGTCTTAATTTTTTACTCACCCCATCTCAGTTTTTGAAACACGCACACACACACACACACACACACACACACACACAGACATACATACAGATACTTTCTAGGTATTAGTTATGGGTTGAGTATCCTTTATTTGAAATGCTTGGAGCCGGAAGTTTTTCAGATTTTTTATAATTTTTAGATTTTAGAATATTTGTATAATACCAGTTGAACATCTCAAATCCAAAAATCCAAAACTCGAAATGCTCCAAATGAGGGTTCCTTTGAGCATCATGTGGTGCTTAAGAAGTTTTGGAATTGGAAGCATTTCACATTGGGGTTTTCAGATTTGGAATGTTCCAAACTGTATAACAAATGACTGAGTGTGTGGAATTTATATTGTACTATACCTGGATCTAAAGCTTCTGTGTGCCTCTAGGTTAGCCTCAGAGCCTCCCTCAGCCTCAATTTCTATCCTATGAAATACAGATAGCAAATCCCATTCTAAAGATTATTGTTTGAATTAAATAAAGCAACATGTGCTAAGAATCTGGCACAAACCCTGGCCCTAGCCCTGGCACTTAATAAATAGTAGCTGTTTTAAATTATTACTATATGATGTGTACTTGGTTATTTAAATATGTTAAAAGTACATTTAAATTATTCTACATTAATGTGTATTAAAATAGTTTGGACCTGGGTTTTGTTCGTTTGTTTCTCTTTGCTTGTTTGGTTTTTCTTTTCCGTAGAGAATTTAACAATTTTACTTGATCCTTGAAGAACTACTGAGTTGTTACAACTTTGACTTGGGTGAGGATCTCTTACGTGAGGCTCAGCCAGTAAAGTTTTATTTCCAGTAAAAGGGGCCAAGGAGTGCTTTGCAAACCTGAAGAGTAACACCTGACCCCATTCATACCACATGGAACTGCTTCCCCCTGGAAATTCTGGGCTTTCTCCCAAATGCTTCATTTGAAGGTGAATGCCTTGTGAAAAATGCCACATATGTGCCTCTCTCTCTACTAAACAGTTAATGTAGAATACCAGAAAAGATCCCCTGCCCATGCTGTCTTTCTTAATGAATGGTGACAATGCACTAATTTAAGTACAATTGGCCCAGCATCTCTCATTGTGACAGAGGCGTTTCCACCGAGGAAAGTGGCAAGGGTACTCTGAGATTGTGGGCTTGTCCAGGGCTGAGTTTGATTTATGAAATGAGACCTAGGAGCCTGGATTGAACAGATTGGCTTGCAAGAGACAGCTGTACTGGAGGAGCTGCTGCCAGGTATGGGTAGTGGAAATAGAGAAAAATGAACAGTGGGATAAAAATTCCTTTCCCAGTCCCTACTTATCAACATGAAACATCTGCTTCAGCTACAGTGGTTCCCAGTGGCAGTCAGAATTATTGATATGGCAAAATCGCTGCTTATATGCAGCACAATGGCATGTCCCCCCACCCCTACTGGCTGCATTGTAATAATTCATTACTGTACCAGTGCGACCAAAGACACCATGGATGTGAAAGGGGAGTTAGTGCCAGGGCAATTGTGCAAATGGTGAGGGTGGTGGAAGAAAGTTTTCACCACGAGCAATAAATTTCTGCCTGCTGTTCTATTTTATTGTGGCTCGACACAGTGATTATACTGGTTGGAAAATAAGCAATAAGCGTCTGTCTGTCTCCAGTTGTTTTTAATATTCTTGTTTAATGGGAGAACATAGCTTTTATTTAAACTAAACATAACGGATGCATTTTAAGATTTGGATCGGTTTTTGAAAAAAAAGTATCTTGCTATCTCGTATGTTAGGTAAGCATATGCTGCTATAAATAGGAAAACAAATATGCTTAGTTCAGCTTTTTGTTAGATAAAATTTGATTAGGGATGTGCAAAAGCTGATGCTGTCAGCCAACACATAGCACCAGGAAGCAATACATACTATGTTAGAATGAAAATTAAATGCATTTATTACCAGGGAAACTGGTTTTGCAGGAACGTACCGAGAAAGTTTACATGCTCAAATAAATAGGAACTCGAATTCCTTAATTTCAGTAATATCACTTTATAATGCATGCTGGTAAACTTGTGTATGAGTTTCCATGGTGGCTGAAGGATGATTAGAAAAAGATTTGCTAAGCCAAGTTCTTGTGGTTCTTAACCTATTCTAAGAAGCGGGGCAATGCAAAAATATAAAGGAAAAACAAGAGCCCACACCTGTAAAGATACTTTACTTTCATATGTGTCCTTACTGTTTTTAACCTATAAAGGAATTTTAGTTGTGCCTTCTTATCTCTGTGATAAGGCATTTATTTGTTTCTAAATGTTGACAGTAAAAAAAAAAAATTGGTATGCAAAAATAGAAACTTTTAAATTAATTTTCCAAATAAAATTGTAATGTGGCCAATTTAGATGTAAAAGCTAAAGCTTGTAGGCAAGTGTGATATTTCCTTGCTGCTTTTCCTGCGGTACTTAGCACTAGTCCTTGGGATGAAAAAAATATTGTTTGATGTTTCAGACAACAATGAAATGAAGCATTGGCAAATTAATAAGCAGATCTTACCTGACAGCCTGGTCACTGAAGAGGTTAACACACTCCAGTGCTGACAACATGATAATGAGGATTTATGGTGAGCAGGAGGTGAAGGTGGGTGGGATGCTTCCAGGCTCCCATGTGCGGTGGCTCCAGCCCCCTGCAGACATAACGCCTCAACAAGAGTGAAGGTTACCTTCTGGACTGTAACAATGGCTGAGCTATGTTTGTGGCAGAGTGTGCATACCCTAAAGATATGCAGATAGATAGATAGATAGATAGATAGATAGATAGATAGATAGATAGATAGATAGATAGATAAAGACAGTTTTTAAAATAATTGTAGTCTTTTATAGTTTGGTGCTTTCTAATTTCACATGTATACTGAGTGAAAACAGAATTTTATAATGAAAAGAAAAGAAATGGGGCCAGGTGCAGTGGCTCATGCCTGTAATCCCAGCACTTTGGGAGGCCAAGGTGGGTGGATCACCTAAGGCCAGGAGTTCAAGACCAGTCTCACCAATACAGTGAAGCCCTGTCTCTACTAAAAATACAAAAATGAGCCATGCATAGTGGCGCGTACCTTTAATCCCAGCTACTCAGGAGGCTGAGGCAGGAGAATCGCTTGAACCTGCGAGGCGGAGGTTGCAGTGAGCTGAGATCCCGCCATTGCACTCCAGCCTGGGCAACCAGGGTGAAACTCTGACTCAAAGAAAAAAGAAAAAAGGAAATGAAGCATTCCCTTTGTTGAATATAAGGTATACAGTTGGTGGGTGGATGGATGAATGCGTGGCTAGATGGATGGATGGATGGATGATGGGAAATTAGTTTACATAACTTTTAAATATCTTTATATTCTTTCCCCTGTCTACTGTTCTAATTTTAAATATTATCTCTCTTCTTTTTTCTCTCTATTTAAAAACTACTTTTATTTTCCTCAAAAAATGCATGCTCATTTTTTGTTCAAGGGTCTTGGTACCTGCTTTCCCCTATGACTGGAACATTGTTCCCTGGATTTTCATAAGACATGTTTTGATAGCCCTTGAGTAGACAGTTCAAAGTCTCTTCCACAATGTCAGTATCCCTTAACACATGCAGTCATATTTCCCTTATTGTTTATTATTTCCAGAACATATTTGTTTGTCTGTTAATGACCTCTCTCCTTCTAGAATATAAGCCCCATAAGAACAACGACTTTGTCTAATTTCTCGTTATTTCACTTGCACCAAGAACTGTATCTCTTATTTGATGCTCAGTAAATATTTCTTGAATTCATGGTGGGTATATATAGAAAGTAAAACTCTATAAGCTTATTCTTTGACTTTTTTATATATGTCTACCTTATATTTGAGGTCCATGGATGGTTCTAAGTTAGTTAATATTTAAAAATAATGAATGGAGGGAGGATTAGAAAAAAAAGCAAGTATAATACTTCTAGGGCCCCAAATGATCTCAGCTCACAAGGAAGCCTCAGGTTTAAATCAGCATGTATGTTCTCAACTTTCCCCTCATTCTCAGTCAGCATTAGCTCAGTTTAGTTTTCATGACTTTCACTCTGTGCTACATTAGATACCTTACTGGGTGGTATGACTTATTAGTCAAAAGCTAAGGATGTTTCTCTGTGGGATATTACTATTAATATCACATCATATTTCACTGTTCTGACTCTTTAATGTGTTGATATCCGTTGTTAATATGATATTTTGCAAGACTGTACAGTCTCTTATTTTTTTATCATAAAAATCATTATTTCAAAAATTGTTATAACTGTTACCTTTGTATTACAAAATGAATCACTAAACTGTTTCGTAAAATGTATTTCCACTTCTGTACAGGATGTCCATTAAATAATGAAGATGTACTTGGTAACAGAAGTATTTATCTGCACACTCTAAATTCAAGCTAGTTCTGTTTTCCCTGAGGAGGCAAGTTGGTGTGCCGTTTCTCATATTTAAGCGACGATATCTTGACCCCAAGATTGTCAGAGCCTCCCCACAGGACTCCGCCATGAGATTACTCAGAAGGAGCCTGTAATGAGCCCTCTGCACACACCACATGGTTTCAATTACAGTTTTATATGACTAGACAGTGTGGTGCTGGGAAGGAGCGATTGAAAACGATGCAAAGGGTCTTTGTCTTCGTGCTTCAGTTACCTGGGCCTCTGCTTTCAGAATGTTCTTCTACTTAATATTATTCAGATTTATCTTATCTGGGTGAAGGACCAGTTTCTGAAGTTAGGGATTCTGTGTTGAAATAAGAGAAACAGAAAAGAATAGTCCAGGCCGCATTCCTAATCTTGTCATGCTATTCCCCTTTAGTTTTCACACTTGTCCGAGACCTCTGGGATGACGTTTTCTATCTCAAGGGTGCTTTCAGGAGCAGATGCCCTATAGCAACTGATTTTTTTTTTTTTTCTTGAGACGGAGTCTCGCTCTGTCACCCAGGCTGGAGTGCAGTGGCGCGACCTGGGCTCACTGCAAGCTCCGCCTCCCGGGTTCATGCCATTCTTCTGCCTCCGCCTCCCAAGTAGCTGGGACTACAGGTGCCTGCCACCACGCCCGGCTAATTTTTTCGTATTTTTAGTAGAGACAGGGTTTCACAGTGTTAGCCAGAATGGTCTCAATCTCCTGACCTTGTGATCCACCCTCCTCGGCCTCCCAAAGTGCTGGGATTACAGGCATGAGCCACCGCGTCTGGCAGCAACTGATTTTTTAAAAAGGTGGTGGTGAGTGAAAGTTTCCTCAAAATTGGGGGAGAAAGGTGATGGAGTTTTCTATAACTTAAAAAGAACTATATCAGAGCATAAAACATTGCCTACATAGTTCTTTGTAGATAAATAATAGTGACTTATTAAAAAAATAAAGTTTAGACTTAAGAAACGATCTAATAGAATTGGAAATATTGGCTCAAATCAGCTATGTACTTGCTTCTGGCTTCTGAGTGGGGTGACGGACAACTTATTTCAACATTTCCTGAAAAGCTGACTCTTTACAAATGTATGTTTATTGAATGTTAGAGATGAGTGTGGTCCTAGACTGGAAGGTTCCGTGGGAGGAGGGTCTGTTATGGCTCTCTTGTCTTCTCTCACTAGTGCATTATACGCAAGTCAGGGATATAGTTGTCAGACTCATGAGTAAAGAAATGCCCAACTTTACCTCTTCTCTTATGGTTGGGAACAGAAGTCCAGAGGAAAGATGTGGGTTTCCCAGGGCGACAGCCAGTTTGTGGCTAAGAGAAGCCTAGAATCCAAGGATGCCATAGTTTTCCATTGCATCAGTGACAATTGTTATGTGATGAAAGTGCAGTGTTCTGAGAATTGGAAAGGAGAACTGAATGTATGTCTTTCTCAAAATGGCCTTCCTGGGTTACTGAGAACAAGAATGCATGGTTGTTTCTAGTTTAACACCTCTTTTATGACATTCAATCAGATTCACTAATAACGAGCTCAGATTCTTATTAACACACACCGGGAATTGAACAATGAGACCACTTGGACACAGGAAGGGGAACATCACACACCGTGGCCTGTTGTGGGGTAGGGGGAGCGGGGAGGGATAGCATTAGGAGATATACCTAATGTAAATGACAAGTTAATGGGTGCAGCACACCAACATGGCACATGTATACATATGTAACAAACTTGCACGTTGTACACATGTACCCTAGAACTTAAAGTATGATTTATATATATATATATATATATATATATATATTTAAAAAAAAAAACACTGGTATGGCAGCTGTAGACATGTAAATGAATTCCTGTAGCTGAGTGGGTAGTTGAATGAGAAGGTGAAGTTTTTGACAGCATGTCAGATTTCCATGGATGAAGAGAGAGAGCACAAGAAAAGTGGGGTGAGAAATAGAAAACAGCCCAGAGAGAGAACCTGACAATATATTGTAACTGCCTTTGGAAGCTTCAGTTCCTTACATAACTGAGTAAAATAGAAAATAGGAACAACAGGTTAAATACTTTTTTAAATGGAGTTTTTAAAGCTTTCCAGTTCATGTAGAGACTCAAAAATTCTCTTTCTAATGCATTTGTTTTGTTGAAATGGCCCAATTTTTATCTAAGAAAACACATCTTCCACCAATCTGTCATCTCCTCTAATTGAAGAAAGAAATGGTTAAGCATGCCCAGTCACTATTGTTTGAGTAAAAAAGACTTACTTGTCCCTTTCCCGGGATAGGAAGACATCACATTGTGAACATCTGTGAATCTCATTATCAAAATAAAAGACAGGAAACTTGTGAATGATTGTATCATCCACTGGTTGTGTGACTTTGGACAAATCATATTGCACCTTTTCTTGACTCAGTTTCTTCATTTTTAAGAAAAGCCATTAAATTAGAGACTTTCCAAGGTTTCTTTTACCTCTTTTGTCCTCATTTAGTTCATAGTCCAGGGAGAGAACAGGCTCTAGAGTTCAAATTTGTCCCAATTCAAGATCAAAAGAATGGATAATGTAGGGACTAGGCCCATGAACTGTAAATTGAGCCAATGTGTAAACATCAACTCAGTTAAAACATCCACTCATCTCAACATTCGATTTTCTTCTGTGGTTATTTTGGCATGCAGGAATTCAGATTCATTTTGGAATATTTGCTAGGTGCATCACACTCTAACAAATTACTAGCATGTTTTAAAGTCTTCCTGCATTCCTGTCTATAATGGTTTTAAGCTTTATAATTTTCCATCTCTTCACTACTTAGGGACATGGGTAATCAATGAAAATGTGTATTTCAAGAATACGCATGTCCCCCAGATTATAGTTTATCAAAATCACTTTTGAATCATTCCAATTGAATTTTCACTTCTTGTAAATCATCAGTGCCCATAATCATATTATGGGGTCACAGGAGATCACCAAGAAAGGTATATTAAAGGCATGACAGAGGAGTAGCACAATGCCCTTGAATCATTCCTCAGTAATATAAGAACAGAATTTGTTCTTGGAAAGCTGGTGAGGGTGGGAACATTTTCTTTCCTTTCCAACAGGCATATACTGCTCATTCTCAAATCTGTATTGCTGTACTAGTCAGGATGTTTACTGTTTAAAATGAGAAGAACAGCAGCTCAAATGATCATAGGCATGAAAGGGAATTTGTTGGCTTATGTAATTAAGAAGATCAAGGGGTCAATATGGATGGCTTCAGGCATGGCTTAAAACAGAGTTAAAAAAATAATGGCACTAGAAATAACTGTGTGTGTGTGTGTGTGTGTGTGCATGTGCACACGTGTGTATGTGTCTGTATTTCTCATCTCTGTGTGTGTGCATGCACACCCACACATATTTATGTGTGTGTCTGTATTTCTTTGTGTGTATGTGTGCACATGCATGTGTATGTGTGTGTGTCTGTATTTCTGTCTTTCTCTCTCTCCTCGCCCTGCCCCATCTCTTTCCCATCCACTCAACCGTTGGTTCTATTTTCCTCTATATTACCTTTTCTTCCAGGTTGACCTTTCTCAGGAGCTTTGGCTAACAGTTACATCAGATCTGTATTCTACCATATTTCCCACAAAAGTCCAGGGACTCCTACGGGCTTGGTTTCAGGGACTATTCACCTCTGAATCACTATGGCTATGATGATCCAAGCCTGAGTTACATGTCCATGATGAAAGCCTGTGATGGAGTTGTCCTCTCCCAAATGATGTTGACTAAACCAGGGCAAGGGATGCTTCTTCAAGGGGAAGTGAAATGCTGTTACCAGAAATAAGGGAGAGAGTAGTGAAAGAATGCATATCCTCCCCAAAAAAGAGAATTTATTCTTTTGGCCCACAGTGTTGTGAAGCAAATCAATATATGATCAAGAATTAATCCATAGATTCCTTTCTGATCTTACCAATGTTCAAATTTATCTGTTCTTCCTGTCTTCATGCCATGCTTCCAAGTGTTGTGTAGACTCATTAATGTTTAATTCTTTATTTTGAGAAGCAGGAGGAATTCCTTCTTATATGGAGTTTCTTGTTCACCGAGTGAACACTAGAACAATAAAATACCTAAATAGTCAAACAACAAATATACAGTTCATCATTTGGATTTTGTTCTGAGCTTTGAAATGAAAATGCAGCTCTTCTTTGAAACAGGTATCTCATGTCAATCCAAATAAAATATCGAATTTCCTGAAAAAGATTGTATGATGAAATGCTTCATTTCTAGGAGTCATTGGCCTGGATTATCCCCTTGTTGTTGATGTATGTGTAGTTTTTTTTTTTTTTCAAATGTATCTCCTGGGAACATTAAAATAAAACATTTCATTATCCATCTTCTTTTTTATTTTTTTTCCAAGTGATGTCTCTGCCAGATAGGGAATGCATGTAATTCACTGTTGCTTTTAATTTGTCAGTACATTAATTTTAGTTGATAAATAAGTTAACTGAATATGCTGTCCCAGTTATCTTTGATCATTCAAGTTCATTTGGCTCTTGCTTTTAAAGGCTATTCTGTGCCTCCCCAATTCTCCTTGGGTTTATATAGCTTTTAAGTTGTCATTGACCAAGAGACCGTTCAAGGGTGATTATAGTTTTCAAGCTTGTTTGTATGCAACAGCCACGACCTTTTTTCAAAAGACACCCAGCTGCTCTTAGCTGCACCTTGACCTCCAACAGACATTTATTACAAATCAATTTCATAGATTGTCCATATAATAATCTAGAGTGTCTCTGGTAGCAAGATGATGAGAGGGCACCAATTTATTGTCCTTATGAGGTTCAAAAGAGCAACAAAATCATGAATTTTGAATGAATTTTGAGAGGTCTTACTAATTTTTTCACTTTGACTATCCTTAAGAGGGACTATCATGCTCTAAATTTTAGAGACAACGTCTCTAATAGATTCTACCATGAAGTCTAGGTAGAAAGGGATAGAGGTGTTCACTCTTGGTTAATGACTCTAAAAAATCTCAAAACTGGCAGTATGGAACAGGACACATCCTTGGAAGAGATGACCCACTGTGTCCAGTTACTTATTTACACTCCAGTCAATAGGAACCCCAAACCACTTTGAGCATTCTGGGGAGGAAGAGGAGAACTTAATATTTTACATTACTTAATTTTATTCCATAGGTAGTTAATGATCTTTATGTTTTATTCTATAGCAGGAATTTACATGTAGTTGGTATCTAATAAGCACTGATGAATCAAATTGAACTTAATCCAACCTCTAATTCTTTTCCAAGCAAAAATAATTATCTTTACTAAGTCCATTTCTTGTTGCTATGAATACACACACACACACACATCTGGTTTTTAAATGTACTATGCCTTTATTCCAGAGGTTTTACTGTGTATTTTAGTAAAAACATCATTTTCAGACAAAATGTAGACTAGCTAGAGGTAACTGTGCTTCAAAGAATTTATCCACTAGGATATTAATTTCCATTTCAGAGTATTTCTTTTTACACAAGATGGATGTTCTGCTTTCAATTTATTAGCTACATAAATGAGCTTATCTATTTCTAATTTCGACTTAATATAAAAAGCATCAAATTTTAGTTTTCATCCATCTAATTTTCATTTTGTATATTTATTTGTGGTAAGCTGATTTTGGTTTATGCCATCTGTTCATCAGGTTCAGGCAGATAATATTAAAAGTATATGTTCTCCAATATGTGAATATCCACATTCATAAGTCATGCTGCAGCTCCGAAAAGCGCTGTGGTTGATTTAGGCTGCTCTCTGGGAGAATGATGTTACCACAGCTAAATACAAGCGTGAGAATTTCTCAGTCCACTCTGCTGTTTCCAGTCGTGGTTTGAAGCAGATGGCTTCTTCTCACCGGCCTTTCTTACCTTAGACAAAAATGTAAAAATTATTTTGATGGCTTCTTTCCTCCTTAGCCTCAGAGCCATCTTGGAACATTCTCTCCTCTCTCCTTTGATATCTCTATCAGTCCCCTCTAAAATCATAAGAAAGTAGAAAGCCTCAGTTACATTAGGAGGTGATTTAGTTAGTAGACCAATCATTCTAAAACATATGGAATCATATTGCAAAACCTTATAAGAGTTAGATAATTTAAGTTCACTGACCTGCTTTTTATTTTATTTTATTTTATTTTATTTTATTTTATTTTATTTTATTTTATTTTATTTTATTTTATTTTTAGACAGTTTCGCTCTTGTTGCCCAGGCTGGAGTGCAATGGCGCAATCTCAGCTCACCGCAACCTCCACCTCCCGGGTTCAAGCGATTCTCCTGCCTTGAGTAGCTCCTGCCTCCCTAGTAGCTGGGATTACATGGGTGGCATGCGCCACCATGCCCGGGTAATTTTGTATTTTTAGTAGAGATGGGGTTTCTCCATGTTGGTCAGGCTGGTCTCGAACTCCCAACCTCAGGTGATCTGCCCACTCGGCCTCCCAAAGTGCTGGGATTACAGGCATGAGCTACCACGCCCGACCAGCCTTCTGCTTTTAAAGTCTCTTCTCTGTCTCCCCAAACCTATGCAAAATGACAAAGTACTTCTTGAAAGAACCCACTCTCCAGCAACTTTGAAAACAATCTATTTTATACCATACACACCAAAACAATGACAACATTTCTGTTCTTTTTCTGGTAAGTAAATAAACATTTGCCTCAGAGACTTTAATCTGAGTTAGTGTAACATCCCATTCCTAAGTCATTGAGAGAGTTTTTACTTTCCAGGAATCTTTTAAGCAAAATATTTACCAAACATGCATATGCCAATAACTACAAGCATTTTCAAATGCAGTCATTTGGGAAAAAGAGAGGCAGCTAAGGCAACTTGATTTTTTTTTAATACGACATTTTACTAATTGTCTTAGACTTGGTGATATAGCTAGTTTTTCAGGTCAGAGAAGTCAGTGTTGCTCTTTTGGAATGGTTCTTTACATTCCCAAACTTTTAAATTATTTAAAAATAAACATTGTTATACACAATAAATAAGAAACTAAAACTGGTAATTTTTATCATTTGTTTAAGGTCAGTCAACATTTTCAGTGCCAGGCACGGTGGCTCACGCCTGTAATCCCAGCACTTTGGGAGGCCGAGACAGGTGGATCACCTGAGATCAGGAGTTCGAGACCAGCTTGGGCAACATGGTGAAACCCTGTCTCTACTAAAAATACAAAAATTAGCTGGGTGTGGTGGCACGTGCCTGTGATCCCAGCTACTCAGGAGTCTGAGGCAAGAGAATCCCTTGAACCCGGGAGGCACAGGTTGCAGTGAACTGAGATCATGCAACTGCACTCCAGCCTAGGCGACAAAGCAAGACTCCGTCTCAAAAAAACAAAAAAAAAAAAAAAAAAAAAAGACATTTTTGGTTATAATGCTGAGTGATTTCAAAATGTCAAACAAGTGAAAAGGATTTTTATGGCCATATCTAAGAAAGTAAAGCTGACGTCATGCATAGAAAACTACATCTCAACAGAATTTTATTAGTAGTAAAAACACTGATAATAACAAAATACAACACTAACAACATGCTTATTATTTGCCAGACAGTTTTCTAACTGCTTTATTATATAAACACATTTTATCCTTACAACACCTCTATGAAGAAAATACTATTATTATCCTCGATTCACTGATGAGAAAAAGAAGTCACAGACAGTTTAAATAACTGATCCAAAGTAGCACACTGTGGGTGAAAGCTGGAGCCAGGATCCAAAAGCAGGCAATCTAGTTCCAGAATCCGTCTTCTTATCTGCTATGAAATACTGTTTGCATTAAAAATAACAAGTGCATTCAAGTTCAAGTCCAATTTTCTTTCTTTTTAATTATGGTAAAACACATAACATAAAATCTACCATCTTAACTATTTTTAGGGGTTCAGTAGTGTTAGGTACAGTCACATTGTTGTGCCACTGTCACCACCATGCATCTCCAGGATTCTTTCCATCTTGAAAAACAAGCCCTTCACCCATCGAACAATAACTGCCCTATTTCCCCCTTCCCATACCATCTGGAAACCATTGTCTGCTTTTTGTTTCTATGAATTTAACTCTTCAGGTACCTTATGTAAAGGGAATCCTACGATATCTGTTGTTTTGGGTCTGGTTTATTTCACTGAGCATGATGTTCTCAAGGTTCATCTGGGTTGTAGCACATGCCAGGATTTCCTTCCTTTTGAAGGCTGAAGAACATCCCACTGTAGGTATAAACTGCAGTTAGTTTCTTGATTCATCTGTTACTGAACACCTGAGTTGCTTCTTTCTACCTCTTGGCTACTGTGAATAATGCTGCTATGTACATGGTTGTATAAATATCTCTCTCATACTCTATATTCAATCCTTTGGGGTATATACCCCCAAATGGGATTACCAGACCATATGTTATCAGTGAATTGAGGATAATAATATGTTTAATTTTTTAAGGAATCGTCATACTATTTTCCATACTGATCATACCATTTTCCATACCCATCAACAGTGCATAAGCATGCCAATATCTCCACATACACACCAACACCTGTTATTTTCTTTATTTAAAATTTTCTTTAAAGTAGCCATCCCAATGGGTGTGCAGTGACAAATTTTCTTTTGTAATCAGCCATGTAAACTGTAATACACACATTGAAAACATAACCAATGTGACCCATAAGTAAATTTCCTAAATATTTGCTTACTTCTTATTTACAGTTTGCAAATCTCTCATAAACTAGATAGGTCCTCAGACCATTCTGCATTTCCTTGTATATAAAGATAAACACACACACACACACACACACACGCACACACACACACAACACACACTCAAACGCATATATATATACAAACATCAAATAAACTTTTGTGTCTTTTATGAAAAATACGACACATTGAGTGGAAGGATCATATATTTCCTCTTCCATTTCTAAAGCATTTCAATTTTGAAAGAGCAATAGAGATACACCCTCTCACATCTGAGTTTAGAATACTGAGGTCCAGATAGGTTAAGTAATTGGTCCCAAGTTGAAAATTTAGTTAGAGCCACATCTAGCCTGAAATTTTTCCCAATGCAGCAGCCCATCCAATCTCTAAAGCGCATCATCCAATGTTTGTAATACATTATGTTTATGATATCTTAAATGTATAGCATTATGTATTACATTATAGATATTAATAAAATACTATTGGTTTAAAACCATTTTCATACCCCACATAGAATTCCAATATAAGCCATCTCCCACTATTTTTCCAGCTATACCATTTGTTTTAGGTAGACTGGCTTTAATATTTTGAATTGAGATGGGGATTCAGCTTAAAAACTGTGAAGGGTTCTTTTAAAATTTTATTTGCACTGAAGATGCTGAGTGTGAAAGACGTAAGTTCATCTCTCTCTAACTCTCCATAGTTCTTAACATAGAGATGATGACCCTGACATGTCACTGATATTTTTAGAAATAATGGCAAAACGTCTTTTTTTTTTTTCTCCCTTCTGCTGAATATACCACAGACAACCACAGTTCATTGGGCTGGAGAGTTTCAGCTGTATAACTAAAAATAAATGCCTCTGTAAAACACCAACAAAGACAATGTCAGTTTCCCTAAACCACTGAAAAATGTGCTTTAAAAAATCAACTGAATTTCAGTTGGGTAAATGTCTACTCCATTTGCCTCCGGGCTGGGCTTTTAAGGGACTCCTTTTATTTTAATCCCTTTTGTTTTTCAGATTTATCACTTAAGGATTGTATGATTGGTGCAACTCATACTATTAAAATGAACTGCAGTTGCTGATCTACTCACAAAGAAATGAAATTGTAAACTCCACTTTGGTTTCAAACCACAAATAAGCGACTAATAAATTAGCACAAGGCATCTTTTGATAGGAGGAGAGCCTAAACTGAATGTAATTTTTAGTAGTAAAACATGGGACTCACTATAGCGCCATAGTACTATTTTAAGCATTATGCGTCAATATTGGTTTTTTGAGGTTTTGTTTTGATGGAAAAGGTTTAAAGTTATTTTGTTCATATTCATATATACTGTGGTGTTTTTAAATATTAAGATATATAGAAACCCAGAAAGTTGAGCTCTTTTTTTTTTTTAACTTTCTTTTTTAGGGCACTTGAAATTTCTTCAGGGATACAATTGCTCTTTTCACACATTTAGAAGAGAATAAAAGAGAGAGAATAACTCTTTTCCTTTATAGAAGCCACATTATAATTCATTCCTTGTGGTCCATGTACTAGATGGCCTCAAGAGACAGCTCCATTCCAGGAGGCTCTTCTAGCACTTAGTGCACAGCCCCCACCCTGACTTTGAAGACTCACAGCAAAGCCTACTGAAGTCACTGTTGATGGAGAATGGTCTGACACTGTGATGCCAACGTGCTGGTTACCTCCCGGCAGTCTTTCATAGATATTTAATGTTTATAAGAGATATTATACTGTCCCGAACTTGGGTTATTTAGCAACATATCTACATAGATGGACACTCAGTAAAGCTTTATAAATAAACAGTGCCCTTCTCTTGCATGTATCTTAATTCTGTCCTAAGCACAATATTCTAAAATCAGCAACCAAGGCTCTATGTCAAATAAATAAACATATGGCATAAAACATAAGCAAATGCATCACTATTGTAGAGTATAAATTTAACTATTTCTGGTAACATGATTCTAATTTATATATATTTTGTTTGCTTGTTTCACCTAAAAGTTAATATTCTTGCTAATTTTAGGTAACTATTGCTTGTTGATCATATTAGTGGTTTACAGTATATGTGATACTAATTTAATCTCAACAGATTTGAGGGATTAATGGTTTGTGAGAAACATAATGGTTGTAAGATAGAGATGGGAATAAATCGCATCACTCAAAATCAGTGCATCTTCAAGAGACAGATTGACAATGAAGTTTAAGAGCCAATTGATTGATCAGTTTTACATGCACATACATACATACATGCATACATACATACACACATGCACAAACCTCTTCCTTAAATTTTCTTCAGACTAATGCATTCTGAAACGGGAGAGTTCCCTGACCCCCACCCCCCCCCCCCATTGCAGGACATGCAACAGGGGTATAACTTGTCTGTTTGGCTGTTGTGCACTCAAACCCCTTACAGGAGGGGGAGCATGCAGACAGGTAGGTGCAGGAGCCAGGGCAAGTGATTTTGGGCTCTGGCCCCATGGTAGCATCTACAGGTGGGTGCCTGTGACATCTGAAGCCCCAGTGGGCATGTTACAGTGCTCTTTTAGCTCTTCTGTTCACAGACGGTTTAAGTGTTAACCAGCTCAGTGCCCTCTTGGTACTTGGGTTCTTGTCCAGCGTCCAGGAAGAATCAGGTCACACGGACATACTAAAGGATGGTGAATGTGGGGAATATTATTGCATTGCCAATGGAGATGACTTTCAGCCACGACTGGGATGGATGGGGAGCTGGAAAGGGGATGGAGTGGGAATATGATCTTCCCATGGCCAATCTCTTCTCCAACTGTCCCCAGCAGAACTCCTCTCAAAGTTCAGACATTCCTTCTCTACTGTCCTTCTCTGCTGCACCACTCTGCTGCTCTTCTGCTCTTCCGTTCATCTGCTTGTGGAGCCTTGGGTTTGGGGTTTATATGGGTACAGGGACTGTGGCGCGTAGAGGGCCAAAAGGCAACATTTGAGCACAAAAACAGGAAGGCCTGTTCTCATTTAGAGCTGCCAGTTTCCAGGCTGGAGGGTGGAGCGTTTGCTGGAGAACCGCCTTCTTCTACCAAGTATTTCCGTTTCCTGTCTTTATCAATTCTATAGGGCACTGAAGTAAATGACAAATGCAATGAACTCTATAGTCTTCAATGAGCCAAAAGCATAACAGTTACTAGTTGTAACATTCAAGAGGATATTGGATGCTTTTTCTCCTTTTTCTATACCGTAAGGTGCTACTCTTTCATGGAAATGTAAGTAGAGATAAAAATGTAAATAGAGATGTTTATAAGGCATATAAACATATTATATTTCCTAGTTCAGTATCTACAGATTGAGACTTAAGTTTCAAAACAGTGAACAATAATTCTGTCTTTTTCAGTATCAGTGTCATAAATTGCCAATATAACCATGTATGAATGACTACTGATAATAGTCATTAGACTAGTCTAATGTCATAAAGATGGCAAATGGCAGAACCAGAATTCCAACCCAAGGTTATTATTTCATTCTGGACCATCTTCGTCAGATGGTTTGTGACCATTGTCAGTTGGCTAGTAATTGCCCATAGAAGAGTATTTACCCCACAGTAACTGACTTGTACTCAAAAACAAGTTATGTCTTTTCAGCAATTATGTGTATGTGAGTATTTTTTGAATACTAGAAGATATTTATTTTATTTTATTTTTTTTTGAGGCAGAGTTTCACTTTTGTTGCCCAGGCTGGAGTGTAATGGTGCAATCTTGGCTCAGTGCAACCTCCACCTCCTGGGTTCAAGCGATTCTCCTGCCTCAGCCTCCCGAGTAGCTGGGATTATGGGCATGCACCATCATGCCCAGCTAATGTTTGTATTTTTAGTAGAGAAGGGGTTTCACCATGGCCAGGCTTGTCTTGAACTCCTGGCCTCAGGCGATCTGCCTGCTTCGGCCCCCCAGACTGTTGGGATTACAGGCATGAGCCACTGCGCCCAGCCGAAGATATTTAATGTTATACATGGGATATTAGTTTTATTTAAACTTTGCAAGAGTGTTAGTTGTTTAGTTTGTTTCTTAACTATTAGAAGGTTTCCTTTCATAGAAGGAAAAATTTGAAGTTTGAATTTAGAATGTTTGCTGTGCTGATGAGGAATTGGGCAGGTGCATGAGAGCTCTGAGTTTGAGTCTCACTGAAATCTTAGGTGGGAGGATGAAGATCGCTGTGTATAAATTTCCAGAGAGATGCTCCAATTCACTGCTGAATAAATGGGAACCAGAGCTGCCTCAGGGGACTTAATGACAATTTCTCATCTTCATTGATTGTGTCAGATTTAATTGCTGACTCAGAGGAAATATTTGTTCTTAGGAGACTTGCTGCCTATCAGGAATGAGTTGAAGAGTTCTAGCCCTGAGGAAAAGTTTATGTGAGCTGAAGAAAAGATGCTTTAGAGAGAGAGAGAGAGAGAATGTGCATTGTTTTCTTTTCTTTTTTCACCCTCTCTCATAAAGGGAGTAGGGCAATGTTAAGCAGGTAAACCCTAATACCATCTACAACCTCGTATTACCATAGAGTATATCTTCGACAAGTATATAGATAGCCTCTTTGTACAGATGAGTAATAAAGAAATTCACATCTGTTGTAATCTAATCATCTATCTGGATACACAGTTTTTATAACAGGAAGGGGCAAAAAGTAAAATCCCTTAATGATGAATTGCTGATGTGAGCCTGTATCACGAATACCATATTAGGTTTTTCTTTTTAATGTTTCTTGCTATTTAGTATTACTTATAGAAGTCTTTGAATTTTCATTATAACATTAAGGGTGAAGAGCTATAAATGCACTCACCTCAGCAAAGAAAACCAAAATATTTATAAATTTATTTTCAGAAATTAAAGACAGAACCCTGGAACTGCACAACAGGCCTGACTGTATTAACTTATAGGAGATTATGGTAAATTTCTATTGTAGGAAATAATTGGATATTGTTTCAGCTTTCAAATCTGTTTCATTAGTATTAGCAAGAGATTAATTTCTCTCTAAGTAAATTTTCTGAAAAAAAGCACTTCACTATGCATTTGTTGAAAATGTGCTGAACTATTCCAATTTAATTGAGATAATCAGCATGCATAGTATGTACAGTTAAATCTAACTTATGGTCCATAACTTTTCCAATAAAGTGTCTCAAGTTCACTACATGACATTGATGTGTTTACCGTGGGAAAGTTTTAAAGCACCGTTCTCAAAAAATATTTCACATCTCTCTAGTTTGGATATTCACACATTACTAGAGGTGTTTAAGTTGCAAGTGATGTCAAGTACAATTTGTCTAATATCGGTCCTAAGCAGAGATGTTCCCCACATTTGATGTTAGGTGCTAATGCATAGCCAGAACTCTGATTTGGTGAATGTTCACATATATGACTATTTAAGCATTCTAATATGGCTTTTTTCCCATGTAACGGAGTTTCTGGAATAGTGTGAGATGCTATTAAAGATGAATGTATCTTATTTTGTTTTGTTAAAACAATCAACAGCTCACACACTCTCTCGAAGTCACCTTTTCTTCCTATCCTTAAGTGAGGGGGAGAGATGGGGCAAAGGAGAATCATGAGCTGAACTTCCACTCTCCACCAAGCACCATGCTCTGCAATCTCCATGATCTCACTGGGACTCTCTATCCATCCTATGAAAGTATTATTAATCTGATTTGACAGATGAAGCTCAGCCTGGATAAGAAACATGCCCGGGCCGGGCGCGGTGGCTCACGCCTGTAATCCCAGCGCTTTGGGAGGCCGAGGCAGGCGGATCACGAGGTCAGGAAATCGAGACCATCCTGACTAACACGGTGAAACCCCGTGTCTACTAATAATACAAAAAAAATTAGCCGGGCTTGGTGGCGGGCGCCTGTAGTCCCAGCTACTCCGGAGGCTGAGGCAGGAGAATGGCGTGAACCCGGGAGGCGGAGCTTGCAGTAAGCGGAGATCGCGCCACTGCACTCTGGCCTGGGTGACAGAGTGAGACTGTCTCAAAAAAAGAAAGAAAGAAAGAAAGAAACATGCCCAAGGTCACAAAACTACACTATGAGAAACCTGGGATGTATGGGATGTATCAGTATCTGCCTTGATCCAAAGTCCATGAATGTCCAGGGCACATGACTGAATATTGATTCTGGTTCCTAATGATACTGACCCAAATGTAATCTTCCTTAAGAAAAAAGACCTAATGGTGACTGACTTCAGGTTTAGACTTCCCCCTCTCCCCCCTCAGTCTGGCTTTATCATCTACTCTTCACACTATATGAAGTCATTACAATCTTCTTGAAGAGGAGATAAAGCTCGTTCCTACGAATATGGTTTCCCTTATGTGGCCCACTGCTCTCTGAAAGGTCCTAAGGATAGTTTGCTATTTCAATGTCCAGAGATAGCTGAATTCCTCCTCCTCCACTCCTTGCTCCTCTATAGCACACTTCCCAAGCATGGGCTCACGAACTCTCCTCCCTACTTGTGTTGTCAAACACAGCCTCACTGCTTCAAGTTCAATTGGGTGTTAGAGACACATGTCATACCTATAGCTAACCTCATAGTCCTACAATGTCTAATATACATAACAGAAAAGTAAATTGAATTAAGGCAGTCCAAAAATCTACATGTGTCTCAATGCATACAATGAAACAAATTTATGTGTGCTACTGTTTTCGAGGTTTCTCATTCATTGCAATTATCATAGTGGCTGATATCTTGCACCATGATAACATCTTTTGAGGAATATAATTTTATTGATAACTAAACATAGTTTTATTATGCCTGATAGTTAAAAATACTTAAAATATAGTAAAGTTTTCATTTATAAATGTGTTGACATTCAATATTCCAAAAATATTATTTTTAATGGAAAATGATTTTTCCAAAGTGTATCTTTAACTTTGTTTTGTAGGAACATAAATTACTTATTCAAGTAATTTGTATAAGTAATACAAATTTGGCCGAGTTCTGACTTAGTTTGTAAACTGTTACTAATGATTTTCTCACGTAAGCAAGGTCTCCCCACGTACTAATACTGTGTATAAGGAGGCTCCAACTGCACAGTGATTCACCTGAAGTAGTTCGGACTTCGGGTGCTTTGCTGATTTTAGCCATATGTCATACACTATAATCAAGGCATGCAGCATACAACGAAACATAAGTTGCCCAGCCAAATTGGAGGAAATGAATCCTAATTTTGGATTCAGCAGTAAGTTTAATAAACTTGGTCCTTAAAGCTAGACTCACTGTTATGGCTTGGTAGTATCCCCGCTGAAATCTCATCTTGAATTCTAATCTCCATAATCCCCAAGTGTTAAGGGAGTAACCTGGAGAGAGGTGATTGGAACATGGGGGTGGTTTCTCCCATGCTGTTCTCGCGATAGTGAGTGAGTTCTCACAAGATCTGATGGTTTTATAAGTGTTTGACAGTTCCACCCTCACATGCTCACAGTCTCTCCTACCGCCTTGTGAGGAAGGTGACTGCTTCCCCTTCAGCCATGATTGAAAGTTACCTGAGGCCTCCCCAGTCGTGTGGAACTGTGAGTCCATTAAACCTCCTTTGCTTATAAATTACCCAGTCTCAGGTAGTATCTTTACAGCAGCGTGAGAATGGACTAATATACTCACCTTAGGTAAAATAAAATTTACAATAACAAATGAAGGTAAGATAGGTCATTATTACTCTTGTTTGAGAAAAAAAAAAAAAAACAGTAACCTTGTGCCATTTCAGAGGGATCTTCAAAGATGCCTTTTAAATTATCCCACATAGAAGCCCTTCTAAATTTCACGAACCCAGAGAAAGATATTTGTTCCTTTCCATATTTGTTACAGTGAAAATAGGACTGGAATTATGATGAAAATAAGAACATATTTTATAGAACACCGTGATACTGAATAAGCTAAATTAAAATTTTATGTGGTAGGTTAGTCTACTAGCCCTGCTTGATTTATGTATATGGTAGAAAATTTCATACAATATAACATTTAGGTATGTATATTATAGTAGATTAAGTATTTGGTTACCTCATATATTTGTGGATATTTCTGGAGAAATGTTCGCTAGCACCTTGATCAGAAGTATAAACCTATAAGCTGGCATGTATTCTATTCACATATATATATATATTTTTGAGACGAAGTTTCGCTCTTGTCGCCCAGGCTGGAGTGCAGTGGCACGATCTCGGCTCATTGCAACCTCTGCCTCCCGGGTTCAAGCGATTCTCCTGCTTCAGCCTCCTGAGTAGCTGGGATTACAGGTGTGAGCCACTATGACCAGCTAATTTTTGTATTTTTAGTAGAGACGGGGTTTCACCATGCTGTCCAGGCTGGTCTTGAACTCCTGACCTCAGGTGATTCACCTTCCTCGACCTCCCAGAGTTCTGGGATTACAGGCGTGAGCCACCACGCCCATCCCACATCTTGTTAGAGAAAGTTTTCTGGAAGGATGGCCCATGATGAGCACAAACAGAACTTCTAGGAATTCTTGAGTTTTCAGAAACAGTAATATTAGTCTACTTTGCAACACTAGAATGTCTGTGCATGCTACTCTTAGAAGTTAAGCATAAGGTGAATTTTAATAATTAGAAATGGGAAAAGGAGGAAAAACAAAACTTCAGGTGTTCAGAAACTGTCCATCATGTGTTGAAAATGGGAATGAAGTAATGAAGTGCTCTGTAATACATTTACATATATTTTTGATAGCAAGAATAATGTGCCTATGAGGGCATCATTATTATTTTTTCCATAAGTCTTAGAAAGGGGAAACCAAAAATTTGCAGAGCTTAGAAAGCTAGCAGGCAAAGTTGTGTTTAATTCTATTCTAAAATTTATAGCAATTCTCTTTTTATGATGGAACCAACCATCAAATACCAATATGTACTTCTCTGATACCACTTTCTCTCTTAGACAATTTATAAGAACCTTTATATTGAATCATTGATTCTCAAATGAAATATGTGCTGTATGTATCCCAGCTTTTTATTTGTAGTATTCAAATAATTCAGCAGTTTTAACATGTGATATGCACAGGAAGAGAAAGCACAGTATCATTAAAAAATGTGACACTTCTGTGATAGAAGACATTTCTATTGTACTCAATTGAAGGTCTACCTTTCCCATGTTCAAATGATGCCACTTGTAAACATCTCTGTCTTCCTGAATAATGTGTAATTAAGTGTATTTTAATTCTAACTTTGTTTTCCTATATTTAAAAGAAGTACCTTTAGATTTACATAGAAACTTTAAATGCTATCTTAATAAAACTATTCTGTGGGATACGCTACATGGAGTGCTTAATCTTGAAACAGATAAAAAGTAAAGTTTGTGGGTTTTCTTTTCATCTGAAGTTAGGCTGATAAGAAGATCATCAAACTAGGGATTAGTCCTAACGCTGCATCAAAATGCATATTTTCATGTCTATGTAATTAGGTTTTAATAAACATGTTTGATGGTTACTTAAAAAACATATTTTTCAATGCAGAAATGGCATCTTGTAAACTACAGTATAAAGAGACTTTTGCAAGACTATTTGTTTTTTAATTACAGCCTGATTATGATAAGCATTTGTTATTTTCCCAAGTAAAGATTAAATTAATGTTATAAATCAATTTTCTAAATTTAGGCTTAAATGCAATATGTTAGACACAACTCTGGATGTCTGCTATAGTAAATTATGGCTTTTCCGACATTTTCTAGAATATTTGTTATTGTGTATAACCTTTTAATTGTGGCCACAGTTTTTAAAGTGCTTATGAAGTTTATAATGCAAGTGTTTGGTTTAATGAGTCATTAGCCATTAACAAATCATTTCTGCAGTTACTTTTCTGATTGCAATTTAGGATTTTATTTAATTCTTTTTCCTTTACATTTTTATTTATAATCCATTTTTATTAGCAATTGAAATCCTAGATTTTTTTTTCAGAAAAATAAGACATGAGATGAGGATTTTTTAGCTGTGTGTGTTTATTAAAAGAAACTAAATAATGGAGACAGCATGGGAGTAGTCATACCTTGCATCTTACGTTTATTGTTCTGAACAAGAAATTTCTTACCTTTCAGAAAAATTGCAAATGTGTTTTGTTTCATCATAATCTTATAAATTTACCATGTTAGTAGTGTCCACTATCTTCCTTTATCTTTTCTCTATGCACATATAATATTTTCCAGATATAACTCACTTCAAATAATTTCTCTTTACGAGTTGAATAAAGTCCTTTTATATCCACAATAAAATGTTGCAATGATCAGCAAGCCTCAAATAGTTTATTGGAAAAAGATCACTTGTGTCAATCATTTCCAAATAGGAAGTTTTCAGAATGAAATGGAACCATTTGGACAGTCAGGATTTCTACCATAATGAAGCTTTAATAAGCCAGTAATAGAAGGTTTTGCAGCAATAGATGATGACCCAGACATAAATCACATTACTAGATCTTAAGCAGGAAGTTATGTTTGTCTATACTGACAAATATAATTGCCTATATTTTGTGACTCCAGTTCAATTATAGATCACCATTTTACTTCCAGTTCAATTATAAATCATCATTTTACTTCCTAATATGTCAGTAGAACCTTTGAAATTGTAACATGATTCTGAAATTCAAAACTACAGAGAGGTATGGGCAATGCTTGCTTTTTTTTTTTTTTTTTTTTTTGCTTATGGAAGGCTATTTTCCTCAAAATCTATTTGCAATTAATTTAGTCTGGCTTTTATTTTTGCTTTTAAATTTAGAAAAATAGATTCTTTCTGAACTGTAGGATTAAGGAAAGCATTATAATAATATTTTCTCACTAATCCTTGGAAGTAATGGTCTGTTCCATGGAGGTGGAACTTGAAGAAGTTCCTCCTCTACTCAATGATCTGAAAGAGGCCAAATCAAGACCCTGGTATGCTGTCATACATATCACATGCCTGGTCATGGAGTTGTGGAGGCTGAGGCAAGCAACACAAGCGAGGTAGCCATTTACAATTCAGAAGAAAAGGATCCTGCAATAGCATCCAGAAACTGTTCATTCTTTAAAAATGACTTATAGAGACCCATTGAAGGAGGTCTGTCATCTATATAGGGTTTGGCAGCTTAGTATGGAAATTTGATGAAAGAGCAATTGAATGATAGCCAAAGGGTCTGTGTTCTTTCTCTCCAGCCTCATTAGATAACTGAGTGGTTTTAAATCAGTCTTTAGAATCCCTGGACCTTAGTTTTCTCATCTGTCAAATAATGAAAGATAGTTTAAAAAATAAAAGTCTGAAATCCTGAATCTGCAAGACTGCGGCTTCTCTGGCGAGGATCCCCTAACTTAGAAAGCAAGTAATCTATATTATGAAGGAAGATGTGGCTACTTTATGACATGCCCTTGCTTCCCATCTCTACATATTCATGAGAATTCTTCCTTGCTCTGTTGTACACTGAAGGGAGACTAAGGTCCTTATGAGTTAGATCTACAAGTACAATCATTTTGTTTCCCTTTGGCTAGGAGCTAACATTCTTTCCCAAGCTATGGCTGTGTAATTAAGTAGAGTTCTCTGAATATTTGTAAAAGAGGAATAATCTGTAGCAGTTTTCTAAAAAGGAATAAAATAAAAATAAAAAGCATGGTAATGGAGAAGAAGGAGTTAATACAATAACAAAACTCTAAGAATAAAAGTAACGAAAGGTACAATAATGTAAGAATTCAAGTTTAATCAGGTACGCTGAAGTGGCAATCTTCAATAAAAAAAATCAGTTCTGAAGAATACAGAATATTAAATTTGATAAGATAATTGCAATTTTATTATTTCAAGATAGTTGTCATCTCTTAGAAGTGTCAAATAATTACCATACACATTCAACAGAACAGCGTGGCAGACTATATAATACGAATGTGTCCTATGACATTCCCACAGCTCTTGTTAGACAGGTAGGTGTGTGGTGATAGACGCAGAAGTATGGTATCTACATCAGTGCAAAAAGTCAAGAGAGGCTTTACGTTGAAAATCTGGAGAGGGGAAAAATGTAATCTCCAATTCACAGCATTGCAGTATAGTGGAAAAAGAACTAGATTAAGTGTCAAGAGGCTGTGGATTGAGTCCTGGCAGTGTGGTATAAGGTAAATCCTTTTCTTTCTCTGAGCCTTCTTTTTGAGAATCTCTTCCTTGGTATGCAACGCCATTGCCAGTTAAGCTGGCTTGAGCCCCAGGTTGCTCGCCTATCTTTTGCTCCTTAGACCATTAGTGGTTTCTGGAAGTTAATGGTAATCCAGCCAAATTGAGAGTAGAGGCTCCTGTTTTTCACTAGTCTCCCTTTAACTTCCAGAACAGACACTTCCTGCAATTTTTGTTTCCACTGAAGACATCCAATTTGGAAATTCCACTTCCAGCTCTCTGTGGCCCTCATTTGAGCATGCACCTTTTAAAAATGAGAGTTGTGAGAGAGAACCTTAAAGGAAACATCTTAAAAGTTAGCTCCCTGAAGGGTTTTCACCAAGTTAAGTTTCCCTTTTATACCCATTATTGGAAATTATAGCCAGTGTTTTAAGTGTAAAGTAAAATACTCTTCTTAAGCCTCCTTTCACAAGCCTACTATTTTTCTAGCCGCAATAGTTTAATTTTGTTTTGACAGTGGCTAGAACACTAGAAATTGTTGGGTTTTTATTTTATAGTAATGACTGTCCTGAATGACTAATTTTCACTGCTATCCATCATGCCTAAAATTGGCTGGTTTGCTTGGCTGAGGATGTTATACATCAGTTCAGGAACAGAAAAGGTCTTGCCTTGGTTGCCTTAGAGTGACCGGGAAAGAAAATGGTGGTGGTGACAGGGAAGTAATGGCTTCTTCCCTTTCCCTCGTATCTCTAGTGTTCCATTTATCTTCATATAAAGGCTTTATCTGAAGAAAAATTAAAAGTTAGAAAAAAAACCTTCGTGCTAAACAGACAGTTTAATTGGTTCTGCTATTTTTGGAAACTGAAAGATAAATGCTACGTGTGAAGTTAATAAACCATAATTGGAATTTGCTTAAGAGCATTCTTTCATTCCACATGGACTCATACACTTCAGGAAGCCAAAAGACCTAGCTGGGCCTTAGGAATACATAAGCCCCTTTCCCAAGAACAGCTGTGACTTTCAGTGTGACCTTGAGGAATTTAATAACTTTTCTATGTCCCCACTGGACAATAAACAAATTGGGGTGGGAATTGAAAAACTAAAAACAAATACACTCAGTTAAAAAAAAAGAAACTGGAAACTTTTTCAGTTCTTGGATGATAACACTATCGTGTGTGTTGACATTTGCCATTTTCCCAGCTCTGTGTAGTGCTTTTTTCCACAAAAAGACTTTGATATTTTTATGATTAATTTTTGTGTTATGTACATACCTATGTAGGCTTATCATTGTGAGCATAACTGCCCTTTAGGTTTTACATGTTATCTAGATCTGAATGTCATGCCATCCAAATTATTTGACAAACATAATCACTCTTACTCTTATTGATGTTAACAATACTGTTTTTTTGTCATTGTTTCTTTACTGGTTATATATGTGGAGAGAAATGAATCTGATAGTCCCAGGCATGGTCTGGCACTTTCAGCATCATATAACTTTTCCCTAGACATATTTAAACTTGAGCTAAATAGCACATTTCTTTAAAGAACCAAGGACGAAGGAAAGTTCATTCTCATTCTGAATTTTTAAAAATATATTTGAAAATATCTTTTCAGCTATGCTTTTATTGCCGTATATTCTACCTGAATCTTTGAAAAGGAAAGAGTGGCTTATAGTTTTCGATCTGCTACTTGTTTCATAGAAATGCCTATATAATGGTGGTGAGATTGAGCAGATCGTAGAAGTGTTATTGTAGATTGTGAGTCAATGTCCAGTAGGGGGTTAGAGTAAGGACACTGAATCCAGAACAGGATCACATGTCAGTGCAGCTAGTTACTAATTGTGTGATATTGGACACATCTGTTTCCTTATTTAGAAAATTGGATCAAAATTGTACCTATCTTATGGATTGATGTGAGAATTTGATGACCTGAGAATTTGTGGTTCAGGACTGGAGCAGTACCTGTACCATTAGATACTCAATGAGCATCATCAACTCAAGGGAAAATTGGAGCTTTGCAATGGGCCTGAGTTTTAATCCCAATTAGCATGCTTACTGTAAGCAGGTTCTCAAACTCTCTGATATTCAGTTTTCCATCTGTAATGATTTTTTCCTAGCAGGATTTATGGATTAGATTAAAAATCTAATCTAACCTAAAAATAAAGCTATTTCAAGGAAACGCCTACCCCACTTACCCAATGATGAAATTTTTTAAATAAAAATGTTTTTTGTCAAGTCCATTATGAAAACTTTTAGAGATGTAGATGAAGTTGTCAAGTATTTACTTACAGTCTAATTTATTAGTATAGTTATACAAGATTTTAACTATATCATATATTTGCTCAAACTGTAACACAAATTTAATGAGATACTTTTGTTTAATTTTACATTCATATTCAATATCAACGTTTTTACCTAATATAGGTGTTCAGAGCTTTCATCTTCACCTCAGTCTGAGGGTTTGGGGATACAGCAGTTCATGAATTCATGTATGGTGTTCATTTTATTCCAATCCACAAGAACCTGTTACAACTCTTACTTTTCCCATTCACCCAATAAGCAAATACTAATCTCCATGGTAGGTTTTATACTAGACTGTTTTTTTAAATAAGTAGACTTTTTTTTTTTTGAGACGGAGTCTCACTCTGTCGCCCAGGCTGGAGTGCAGTGGCGTGATCATGGCTCACTGCAACCTCTGCCTCATGGGTTCAGGGAATTCTCCCTGCCTCAGCCTCCCGAGTAGCTGGGATTACAGGCGCTCACTACCACACCTGGCTAATTTTTGTATTTTTTAGTAGAGACAGGGTTTCGCCATGTTAGTCAGGCTGGTCTTGAACTCCTGACCTCAGGTGATCCGCTCGCCTCAGCCTCCCAAAGTTCTGGGATTACAGGCGTGAGCCATTGCACTTGGCCTAAAAAGAGATATTTGAAAGATTTATTGGCATGCTTATTTGAAAGATGTATAAATCCAGGACAAAGAACAAAATCTGGACTGTTTTCAAATTTTGCCTTTCTTCATTTTTATTTACTGATTTCGGTTTAATCAGTGAACCACCAAAAGTTTGCAAACCTAGTATATTTTTAGATGTTTCAGGCAGATATATCTCCTCCAAGTATATTATGTTGTGAAAAATAATAAAAATTGTCGGAGCTAACCATAAAAATTGAAAACACAAATATATGCAATATTTGTTTTCTAAGGGATATTTCCTTTGAGAAGGATTGACCTTATACTTAGGTATATATAGAAATATGTTTAATGCACATAACATAACTTATACTGAAAATTATTGAATAATACCTTAACTGTTAAAGAATTAAATACGTTGAAGAATATCACATGTACCTAGAACAGCCTTCCTCAAAATTTGGGCTGCAAGGTATCTTTACACTCTTAGAAACTATTGACCCAAAGAAGTATTGTTTATGTACATTATACCTGCCAATATTTACTGATTAAAAATAAAACTGAGAAATCATGAAAATATTTTATTTATTTATTTTAAAATAGCAATAAACCCATTACACAGTAACTTAAATAACATATTTAAAAATTTATTTAAAAAGCATATAATTTTTTTTTGTTTGTTTTTACTTTAAGTTCTGGGATACATGTGCTGAACGTGCGGGTTTGTTACACAGGTATACATGTGCCATGGTGGTTTGCTGCACCTGTCAACCCATCATCTAGGCTTTAAGCCCCGCATGCATTAGGTATTTGTCCTAATGCTTTCCTTCCCCTTGCCCCACCCTGCCCCACAACTGGCCCCAGTGTGTGATGTTCCCCTCCCTGTCCCCATATGTTCTCATTGTTCAGCTCCCACTTATGAGTGAGAACATGCAGTGTTTGGTTTTCTGTTCCTGTGTTAGTTTGCTGAGGATGATGACTTCCAGCTTCAGCCATGTCCCTGCAAAGGACATGAACTCATTCTTTGTTATGGCTGCATGGTATTCTATGGTGTATATGTGCCACATTTTCTTTATCCAGTCTATCATTGATGGGCATTTGGGTGGGTTCCAAGTCTTTGTATTGTAAATAGTGCTGAAAAAAAATACATGTACATGCGTCTTTATAGTAGAAAAAAGCATATAAATTTTTTAAAGTATTTAAGTGAGAAGAATAACATTATTTTATTATTTCCCAAATATCTTTAATGTCTGACTTAATACAGTTGGGTTTGTTATTTTCGTTGAAGTATATGAAGAAAATCCAGCTTCATACAGATATATAGATTGAAAATGGAGATTTTTAAGAATAGCTTTTTCAGGTGATTATGGATATTCTTATTCGGTCTTACAAAAATTCCATTAGTGGTAGTTTCTTAAAGACTATTTACAGTGTAGAATCTTTTTGAAATCATATCAATGAACTTTTTGTACTAAAATCCATTGACTTTTCTTGCAGTTTCAATGGTCTTTTTCCTTGTGCATGGTCTTGTAACAGTACACTTTGGTCATTAGGAAAAATGTTGTTTCATTGAGGTATGCAGATCTTCCACATGTGGACACATTTCATTATAAAATGTCAAAAAATCATATTTGTAAATCACCATCAAGCTTATCAGAAAGGTCTTGAAGTGTTGGGAAACTATTGTGCTCATGATGGCAAACTGAAGTCTTACACAGGATGAATTTTTGCTTGAAAGCTTGAATTGAATCACTGGCAACAAATACTGATATAGCTGGTTTTTGTTTTTTTGTTTTTTTGTTTTGAGGTGGAGTTTCACTCTTTGTTGCCCAGGCTGGGGTGCAATGGCATGGTCTTGGCTCACTGCAACCTCTGCTGCCTGGATTCAAGCAATTCTCCTGCCTCAGCCTCCCAAGTAGCTGGGATTACAGGCACCTGCTGTCACGCCCAGCTAAATTTTCTATTTTTAATAGAGACAGGTTTTCACCATGTTGGCCAGGCTGGTCTCGAACTCCTGACCTCAGGTGATCTGTCTGCCCTGGCCTCCCAAAGTGCTGGGATTACAGGAGTGAGCCACTGTGCCCAGCCAATAGCTGATTTCTTTAAAGTGACTAAGTCTCTTGATTTATTTTCTAGAGAATGTTAAATAGACTAGTCTGTATGGCCACAGTTGTCTTTCAGAGATTATTTTAGATAAAAATAATGTTCCATAAAAAAAGTGATGGTTCAGCTCAGAACTAAAACAATCATACAAATACTTTTCCTCAAGGCAACTATGATACTTTGGTTTCCAAACTAAAATGCTTTATGCATACTTCCCATTTGATCACAAAGAATATATTTTTTAAATGTACTCAAGGGCCAAGATTTAATAAAATTAATAATTTTTACTGCTTCGCCAAAAGCATTTTTCAGTGAAACTAGAATTTTTTTTTTCTGTGAGTGAATAATAGTAAAAAAAAAAAAAAAAAATACCATGACTAGTAAAACAATTTTCTGCTATGCCTTTGACTCGTGCTAAGGAACCAGCCGTTTTCCTCTTCACAAATGTCAACACAATGAAAAAGACAAAAATGCATAAACATTATAATAAAAATAGTTATGATCTCCAGGCCCTGTTGGCGGGTGGGGGGGGAGGTCTCAGACTATGCTTGAGGAACCATTAACAGAGGAAATTGAATAAATAGTATTTGTATGTAATAATAATAGCTGACATCTATTGTTTACATACAGTTTCACATTATTGCATTGTTAAATGTTGTTATCTACAAAATAAGTTTGGTTACCAGTCACCTTTTTAGTATTCCTATTCAGTCACCAGTTTTCTCAAAGTGGTAATCTGCACTGGACCTTCATGTCAAAAGTGTTGATTGGTGAGGTTCTACTAGGCTTATTGGTAAGATATATTTTTAATATCACTTTTTCTTCCTTCTCCACTTTGCCCACCAAAAAAATAGAGGATAGATAGATGGATAGATGATAGACAGATAGACAGATAGATAATATATTAAGATGGAAGGAGGAAAGGAGGGCAATAGGTGGGAAAGAAGGGAAGAAAAAAGCAACCAAGCAAGTAATGAAGAAAAAAAGAAGGAAGATATGAAAGAAGTAAGGAATTGAGATGAACAATAAAATGCTTGTTTTGAAGCTGAAGTTTAGTTAGGGAATTACGGTTCATTCAATTTAGTAGTTACTCATAATCACCTTGCTAAATTAAACCCAGGTGTAGTGAATGCTGTTGCATTAAATATATTTTCACATGCACTCAAACTGGGAAGAGCGAAACACCAGGAAAACATGAAGTTGCAGTGTGGTTCTTGTATATCGTTGAAGGACTGAAACAAACAAGGCTCAATGGCCATTTCTTTAAAAATACTGACTAATACTTTGAAGAAAATAAAACAATCCAAATGAAAACATGGCTTGCAGGAGCTGCTTCTGTTTCCTCATCTTCTTTTCTGTTTGCTTTTACATAGAAGAGTACAGCTGTGGTTTAACTCATTGTGATAAAACTGCTAAACATGTGCCTGTAACTGAACTCCAGGAGAAAACTCTGCCAGGAAACTGTCTCCTAATGATACAATCTGCATATTTTAATGATGCTGGAAATGTAGGAAACGGCATAGACTCTGGACTCTGCTCATTCTGGGCTTTTTCCCCTCCTTGTAGCTTGTGCATTGTTTGCCTTCATTAACATATGATAACTGGAAATGGGTTTCCTATCACCATCCACCAGCCGGATATGGCTTGACATTTTCAGAGTTCAGATGAAATACTTGTAACCTTTCTGGGGTTACTCTATATTGGACTTATTTTAATGATGTCCATTCCATCAATGAGAAGCTGGCATGGCCACTGTTTTAAATAGCACAAAAGAAAAGTTATGTCTCACTACAAAAAAGCACAGCTATGGAAGATATTAGTAGCAAACCATTTTTAAAACATTTTGCACCTTCCTCTCTCGCTTTTATGATATGACTTCTCGGTTTTGCATTTTTCTTTGCTCCAACCTCAAGTGCCTTGTTCTCTTACTCTTACTTTATCTTAGCCCCACCCCTTAATGTTCATTGAGCACCTGCTATGGGCTGAGTTCTTTGCTAATCACTTTATATGTATTATTTTATTTAATTTTCACAATATTGCAAAATAAGCATGATTGCATATGACTACTTTATATATATGTGTGTGTGTGTGTATACAGGTACATGTGTTTATGTGTGTGTGTATCATGTATGTATGACAGTGATATCAGTTTGGAACTAAATTGAGTATAGTAGATATAAGCAGAAACAAACTTTGTGAAGTTATATTAGTTGTCCAAGGACACACAGTTAGAAAGTTAGACACTGGACCAAACCCAGATTTATCTAAACCTCTGAGTTATCATGGTTTTTTTGTAAAGACCAGAATACTTGGAAATATAAGCCTTTGCTGGATTTTATTCTACTCAATCCCTAAACTACTCAGTTAAATTGCATACAAAACAGGGGAAATTCCTTCATAAGTTATTGGTCTGAAGCCAATTATATAAAAGTGAAAGATTTGGGGTCCTACTCTCCCAAACTATTGAATAACAGAAATGGAATAGAATAGATTAAGCCTTCAAACTAAGAATTTTTAAAGGACAAACTCATTGGCATCCAGATTATTTTAATATACATTGTTCATAGATTACTTTTTAGAAACACTGTCAAGTTTATAGTCTAAACAAATAGATTTTAATTATGAATAAGGAATTTAGGATTTAAAATATTATTACCTGGAAAATCATCTTTAAAAAAAGCAGATTATAATACTCCAAAGGAAAAATGGGCCCTTTACTTGAACATAAAGTTTTCATTTTCACTTTTCAATGTTTTCATAGCTTCTTAGATTTATTGGCATCACGTTTTTTACTCTGCATTGTGGTAGCATATTTACTTACTAGACTGTAAACTTGAAGCCATCATTGCAAGTTCATTCCCTGGTATATGGAAACCGGAAGCATAGTAAGATCAGTAAAATGTTTGGTGAAATGCAAAATTTAAAGACATTGAACAATTCAAAAGAAAGAACAGAATCGTGTCTAGGGAGTGGGCCATTTTAACATTTTAATGCATGACTGTTTGAATGGTTTAAAATACAGATTTCTGGACACACTGCAGGGATTCTGAGTCAACCCGTCTGGGAATGGTCCAGGAATCTGCATTTTATAAAGGCGTCTAAGGCATTTGCAACCACACTTCAAGGAATGTGGCTGAACTGTTTACAGTTTTAAAAAGTAATTGGGAATGGTTCTGACTTGTGCCCTGCTTTGCATATTTGAATCCCATCTTCCAGCAGGTAAGCTTTCATTTGGAATCCTTGATCCAATAGTCAGTTATGTCTTCTTTTCCATCCCAGCCTAAGGCTTTCCCTGGCACCCCTCTTAACTGACTGCTTACTTCCCCTCTCTCTTCCTCACTGATTGTAAGACATTCCCATAATAGGAGTTACACAAACGGCTGCCTGGCATAAGCACTGGTTAATGCTCGTAATGTTTTTATAAAGACTGTACACCTTTTTATCAGGTACAAAATTATTTCTCCAAGTATTCCCCTGTTTTGTAGAAATTTCCATCTCATAAGGAGGTGAGCAAGAGTTGCAGAATTATGCATGTAAATTACTAAAGAGGAAATGTGAACATGGGATGCTTTGCAAATGGTAGCTATTCGGTGTTTTCCTGGAACAACTTCTGAAACTCTAGTGCACCAAAGTTAGTGCTCTTAGAAATAACTTAGGCCTGGAAATCTGCATTTTGACACAAAATCTAGATGATTGCGATGTAAATGATTCATACATCACTTCTTAATGAACTTTGCACCAAGGATATGGTCAAAGCAGGTCGTTCATTTATTTTAAAACACTTTTCAGCTTCTTTAAGCTTCTATCAAGTATTTTCTTGCTCAAAATTCTCCCTAACCCTTTAGAGCATCTTTTGTGTTCTGCTAAAGGCCTCAAGTAGCCAGTCAGGGGAGAAATAACACATAAACATAAGATAGAGAGATGAAATTTGAGTAGGCTTGGTAGTTTTATTTTTAAGATTCTAAATATTTGATGTTATTTCTTAAAAGGTTAATATAAGAAGTCTGTTTAACAGCACAGTTTCTGAAAACCAGGAATTCCCATAAAAAATTCATAGGTCTGAAAGATACAACACATTTTGGATATCGGAACCCTTAATTTCTTTCCGATTCTACAAGCATATCCTCAGAATGTCTTTTCAATATTTTGTACTGTCTGGTTGTGTAGTTTCTTCACCCATAAAAGAATCTGTGAAATTAGAGACGTCATTTTATATAAAGGCATTTCAGTTTTTAAAAAGGATATATAATTACATCCAGGGCTATCACATGGTTGCTGCTGAAGTTTACAAGAGATGTGTGCCTACTTCTAGATCAGGGATTGGCAAACTGCAGCCCACAGACCAAATATGGCCTGCTGCCTGTTCCTGTACAGTCCATGAGCTGAAAATAGATTTACCTCTTTTTTAGAATCCTTTTTTTAGAAAAATGTTGTTTTTATATTTTTAAATAGCTGAAAAATCAAAACTGGAATAATATTTTGTAATATCTGAAAGCGATTTAAAATGTAAATTTTAGTGTTCCATAAATAAAGTTTTATTGGCACACATCCACGCCATTAGCATTGTCTATGGCTGCTTCCATACTACAAAGGCACGGTTCTGTAGCTGCAACAGAGACCATGTGTGACGCTCCCTGCTTGGCACACTATAAATCACAGTGAAGCAGTTATAACTCGACAGCGTTTCAAGTGCCACATGTGTCACGTACCTGTGTGAACAGCCATTTTCAAAGATGAAATAAGTATGAAATAGAAGCTCACTCTAGATCAGCATTCACAGATGGACATTTACAATAAATGCCGGTGATAGTAACACTGACTTTGAGCCTCAATTAAGCAAACTGTTAGCATATACATACAAAAAGAATTTCAGTCTTTTCATTACTAGACTGGTATTACAAAAAATTATGCTAAATTGTTAGTATTATATTTTGAATTTCGCCAAAAACTGTGGGCATTTGTTTTCTTTCTTGTTATGTGAGTATGCATATATTACCGTCAATTTTGCAGCTTCGCCTGCAAAGTCTGAAATATTTCCTATCTAGACCTTTACAGAGAAAGTTTGCTGACCCCTGTGATGGAGCACTGAGTGCATGTAAATTATGAGATGGTATTTTAGTTGTAAAAAATGTTTCATCGCTATAGAGTTATCTTTCAAAAATGTAATTTTCCCCTGATTACAAAAGTCATATGTACAACTGATAGAAAATTTAAAAACTGCTGCAGGATATAATTGGAAACTCTCCTTAATTTTTATCACCTGGATATGATGAATAAACCCTGCTAACATGTTAGTGTATTTTCTCTAGACTATTTTTTTAAATACTTGCATATGTTTGAAACCTTACTCTAAAAACAATTTTCAATGTCACTTAAACTTTGAGAAGTAGTTTCCCATATTATTCACAAATCTTTGCAAACGTGATTTGTATGGTTGAATACTATATATTCATGTGGATGTGCCATAATCTGAGTCTCCTTTGGTGGGATCATTGAAGTTTTTGGGTTTTGAACCCCCCTCCTTTTTAATAATATTATTTAAAAAAATTATGCTGACTAATTTATTTGCCCAACCTTCAGATTTTTTTACAGAATTCTTTTAAATGGTAGATTACTTTCATTCCATATGTAATTCAGTTGAGAAGTTGGATAACACGCCCTAATTTTTATCAACACATCCTTTTGGGTAAGTCAAGCTACTCTTAGTTGCTTGATAAAACAGAGGTTGCTTTATCTTATGACAGCCTAATCGTACAGCAGTATTTATGGCACACACTCTAGAACAAGCCTGGAGGCTTTAAATCTTAACTGTGTGACTTAAGTCATTAAGCTCTGGAAATTGGAAACACCAGTAGAACCTCTCTCATAGGGCAACAGTTATATTAAGTGAGGTAATTGACATACAGTGCTTACTCAGTGTCTGACAACTAGTAAGAGCTCAATAATTGTTAGCAGCAATATAATAAAGTAGAAATATCCAGCTCTCTCCTCCCTCAAACTGAGGAATATCCATTTCTTCAGAAAAACCTGTGACTTTGAGAAGAAAATCTTTCTTTCACTACGTTAAATTCAGCTTCTTTCACTTTTCAAAATATCAGATTTTCGAAAGCTACAGCTATACCACTTATGGTATTTACGTCCTTGACCCAGTCACCTAATCTCTATTGAATTCTCCTTTTCCTCACTTGTAACATAGGAGATCAAAGTCACTTACTTTATTGGATTGTTGTGAGAATGAAATTAGAGCATACATGTAAAACACTTAGCCCAGCCCCTGTACAGAGTTAGCCGGCCAATTTCCTATTGCAGGCTATGATAAAGACAAACATTGAAAATCAGTGATTAGACAAAGGATGCTTCCTTGCCCCTGGCAGCCTTCGAAAACTTCCCTCACCTTACTGTGGATAGCAGCATTACTCCTTTTTACTGGAGAAAAAGATAGTCTCAGATGCATAATCAGATGAATGGACCATGCAGAAACGCTGATTAAATTAGTTATGTGTATTTTCTGTGTGGGTATGTGTGTGTGCACATAAAAGAGCAAAAAAAGAGTTTAAATGGGCCCAAAGGAAGGCATTTAAATTTGAAGCCTATAGTTGTTCCATGGTTCCTCTTGGCTTCTGATATCAGTTCCTCCTATTAAATTATTAAGTGTTAAGAAAAGAAATGTTTAAACAAAGCCACTATTAGTTTTTAGTCAAATTCTGTGTGTACTTCTGTTATATTCAAACAAGCTAATGAGTACATTCTTTTTCTTCTGCTCAACTTGAAAAGGTTACAAACAAATAAACTGTCTCAAAATCTTTATTCTCTCTGGAATTTATTTTTCAGAAATATTAACTCACCTTATTTTTTAAGCCAAAAATTTAAGAAGTTTATTATAATTTGTTATTCTAATTCTGCTGCTGAGTTGGCTGTTTTATTTAACGATAAATTGAATACAAAAGCTCCCCAAGGCAGGAAGACAGAGTACCAAGCTCTGAAAGTTTGGCAGTTTGACATTTCATGGTAGCCTCAGACAGAAGTTAATTTCGATGCTAATTATGTATACATACTTAAGTTGTTGTATGGGCTAGTGGGAGTGTACATACATGTACATATATGTATGTCTTGGAGGTTACACTACAACTAAATTTAGAGTCATTTTGTGCAGCTGGGCGTGGTGGCTCACGCCTGTAATCCCAGCCCTTTGGGAAACTGAGGCAGGCAGATCACAAGGTCAAGAGTTCGAGACCAGCCTGACCAATATGGTGAAACCCTGTCTCTACTAAAAATACAAAAATTAGCAGGGCTTGGTGGCGGGAACCTGCAATCCTAGCTACTCGGGAGGCTGAGGCAGGAGAATCGCTTGAACCCCTTATTACCTCAGAATATGGCCTCATTTGTAGACAGAGTCTTTCCAGGGGTGATCAAATTACAGTGAGGTCATTAGGGTGGACCTTAATCTCACTGATGTCTTTATAAAAAGGATAATCTTGGGCACAGCGCTGTGCATGAAAGAAGGACAATGTGACGAGATCTAGGGAGAAGATGTCCATATATGAATCAATGAGAGAGACCTAGAACAGACCCTTCCCTCCCAGCGCTCAGGAGCCAACCCAGCAGACACCTAGATTTTGGACTTCCAGCCTCCAGAACTGTAAGACAATGCACTTCTGATGTTTAAACTACCCAGTCTGTGGTTACAACAGCTCTACCAAACTAGTACACATTCCCTTAAAGGAAGTTCGTACAGTGTCTTACAACAATGAACTACATTAAAACACACTAAAGAAAGTAAGACACAAAGGGAGATTGATTGTTCCCATATACTGACATTTGAAAAGATCTAATACATGGGAAATTGGTCTTGAATCAACTCATAACATAGAGTTCCCTCAAGAGTCCCAATTCATCATTAACATCCATCAAAAAAATCAAATTCCTCCTAAAATGCTTAAGATGGGAGATAGGAAAGATATTGCATGCTAAGTGGACCAACTTGTCTTTAAATAAAATGAAAAACTTATCTCTCAGACATGCTGAATTACATTACATACACTCCATTGCATATATTCCAGTAAAATAAATTCGTGACCAGTATTCTGTGTAAGTACAGTGATATATTCTGTAGCCCAGAATTCATAATTTTACTTTAGGCAGCTTAGGTCTCTTAAAATATCTCCCGAGGGTTGAGGTCTTCATCCAGCCGGTGGCCCTATTAGGAAGTAGACTAGAGGATTATAAGGCTTTATAAATCCTAATGTTGCTGGGGCTGGTAATTCACAAGTAGTAGATGCAGAAACCACAGGGAGAAGCTCAGAGTGCTGGGAGAACTGAAGACAGGAAAGTAAGAGGCTCTAGAAGCCTCCAGATTAATCTTCCCAGGAAGAAGCGGAGACACTAATGCTTGAGAAACATAAAAACAGACTACAAAAAGCAGTAAGGAAAAAACCACATTATAGCTTTTACTTATTTTGTTGGACTGTTATTTTCAAATCACACAATTGTCTGAGATGATTTAATACACAATTACATAAAAAATGAAATTAACGTGTCTTTAAAAGCATAAAAGCAACTGCTAAATAAAGCCATAACATTTTTCTCTGTGCTACCAAGGTAATGAACCATATTTTTCATCTCTAACTGTGCCTCTGTGTCATGAGTATGGAATTTGGGGCAGGAGGGGGGCAGGGAAATATATACCTTCGCTACTGAGAGATCGTCTCATAGCTCCCTGGGAGGTGGTTCAGAGTGCAGTGGGTTGAAGAACAAAACAGCAATACTTATGAAGAACCCTGCCACTATGACGCCAAATGCCTAAATACCCCGACAAGTTGCAGGGGAAAGACAAGAGCCAATGGAGGATGGCAGAGGGTTCACATTTTGTATCTCGGTACCTGTTTGGCTGAATAAAGCTGACTTCTGAATCAAGATGCTGTTCTGTTTTAATGTAGAAAAGTATTGTCACTGAAAACCTATACAAACCTAGGTATGCATATATGCACACATATATGGAACTCGATAGGGCCTCCTGCCTTCATCTATGTGCACACACACACAAATTATACATACACACTTGTAACCACATGTTCGTATTAGAACTTTTCCCAGTGTCTAGTAGAAATACCTCCCCTTAGTAGTCTTTTCTGTAAGGTATTCTCCAAGTTTCTGAGAAAAAAAAAATTATGGAAGCATATCTTATTTTCAAAATGATTTCACAGAGAGCCTGTTCCAACGTACTGCAAAATAAAAGTAAAGATTTTACTCAAAGATTGAATAAACATAAGCATACATAGAACATCTGCCATACTCCAGAAGTGGTGCTTGTGTTGGGGATATAAATAAAACAATAGAACTTTGCTCCTGCCCTCAGGGAGACAACAGTCTGACAATAATAATAGTTATTATTTTTGCCATTTCTTTTTCTTTTCTTTTTTTTTTTTTTTCTTTTGAGACAGAGTCTCACTCTGTCGCCCAGGCTGGAGTGCAGTGGCGCCATCTCGGCTTGCTGCAAGCTCTGCCTCCCGGGTTCACGCCATTCTCCTGCCTCAGCCTCCCGAGTAGCTGGGACTACAGGCACCTGCCACCACGCCCAGCTAATTTTTTGTGTTTTTAGTAGAGACAGGGCTTCACCGTGTTAGCCAGGATGGTCTCAATCTCCTGACCTTGTGATCTGTCTGCCTCTGCCTCCCAAAGTGCTGGGATTACAGGCGTTAGCCACCGTGCCCGGCCTGCCATTTCTTAAATAATATCTAATACAAGTTACTAGTGCACTGATATATGCCTAAAGAATACATCACTAGATGAAATAATGCAATGTAATGATTTTTTTTTCTCTGTTACTCAACTACTGCATGGCATTTGGTTGAGGAACCTGTACAGATTGGAGGTGACAACCCCATCACTACATGCTTGCTCTGGAAAGATGAGCTTTAATCGAAGGACCAAATCTGTGTTCCATGGACACTTGTTTATATTTTCTATGATATAAAATGGGTAGGGAGAAAAAAATCAAGTGAGCAATTATGTTTCACATCTAGGCTTAATTAAGGTTTTATGTAAAAGTACAGCAAAAATGTACATATGTACATACATAAATATCAAGAGATTGTTTGTTGTCCTATCTCAGTGGGGGAACAGAATAACATATGAGATGGATTAGACTTCTGATAGGCGGATCTGAAGGCATCTTGTTTTACATAATGGTGCGGTATAGTGGTCTGTGGAGATTTTCTTTGAGGACGCAGGCCATAATCTAGTCCAATTCTAGTTATCTTTGGTTTGGGGCCTGGGTATTTGTGTCACTTTAGGGAGTTGTCTGACAATTTTGGTTATCCAGGATGATATCTGAATTTGCACAATCATCAGGGAAATTATCTGTGGGAAGAGGAAGCACTGGAGACAACAAAAGGCCTTTAATCTAAACCAGAACTAGATAGATTTGCATGTGTGTGTGTGTATATGAGTGAGTATGTGCCCGTATGTGTTTTCTTGTGCATTTGTTTACATGTATTTGTGTGTGTATGCTTGTATATGTATGTTTGTATTTATGTGTTTATATATATGTGTTTTTGTGTGTGTCTTTTATATGCATGTTTATGTTTATGCACATGCTACGTGTGTGTTTAGTGTATATGTGTATTTGTTAGTGAACTTTCTGTGTATGAATGTGGTCTGATGTCTTTTCAGCCAGCTCTCAAAGGTTTCTGGGTTTGGGTTTTTGGTCTTTCATTGTAATTAACTAATGGAATATCTACTTTCACTAATTAATTCAATTCTGTTAAATCTTTTGGCTGGTTAAGTATCAAATAAAGAGCTATGTTAAATGTAAAAATGTGAGACAAAAGCTCAGGATCATTTCCTAGTATTGTCATTCTTGCAAACTTCAGGTGGAATACTGCTCCCAAGTCTGGGTTGCCAATTTTGAGTTCAATCTTTTTCTTTCTGTATTTATTTTGTCAGTATATAATGCAAAATTTAAAGGAATGTTTCTTGCTTTCTCACAAATTGTTAACCTCATATTTTCTGGTCATAGAAGGTATAATTTATAAAATTATTGTAAAAAATGTTTTGAAAAATAGAGAAAATGGAGATTACCTGAAACCCCACAGTATCCTCAGGTAATATTTGAACAGGTAGATAGAATTGCACCCACATCAATAAGAACTGAGTATTAGATCACATAACACTCTTTCTCCTGCTCTAATATGTCTCTCCAGGAATTCTACTGTTTCTCTCCTTCATCATAAATTATTCTGTCTTTCTTGGATCTTAACTGTAAGCATAGTGTGTACTGCTCTATTGCATATTATTTTTTAAAAAATCGATTCTTGATCCCACTTTCTCTGCTAAAAATGACCCTAACTCTTCCCTTTTCTTTATAGAACAATGTCTTGAAATCATTGTCTACATTCACTGTCTCTTGAAACACACTCCAGTAAAGCTTTAGAACCCACCCTTCCACCATTCCACCAAAAAGACTTTATCAAGGTTATTAATTACTCCCATATTGCTAAATCCAATTGCCTATTCTTAGTCTCATCTTACTGGACCTATAAGCAGCATTTGACCCAGCCAATCACTCCCTCCTTCTTGAAATATTTCATTCCCTGGCCTTCCAGGATGGTTTTGCTCGTGACTCATTAACTACTGTTCTTCAGTCTCCTTTGCTATTTCTTTTCTTGTCTTTGACCTCTTAGTGCTGGAGCTCACCAAGTCTCACTCTTCAGACACTTCACTCTATGAAATCCTGCACCCCGCCCCCTTCTACCCCCACCACATCCAAAGTGATCTCATCCAGTTTATAGTTCTATTTTTATGAGACTCAACTTTACATGAGATTTCCCTGATCTCCAGACTTAAATATTCAGCTGCTTACTTAGTATGTCCAGTTGGAAGTCTAATAAATATCCCAACCTTGACATGTTCAAAATGGAATTCCTGGTCTTACCTCTCAAGTGGTCCTAGCTATAGCCTTCCCAATCTCAGTTAATGGTTACTTCATCCTTCATTTTGTCAGGTCAAATTCTTAGAGTGGTCCTTGATTTGTGCCCTGTCTGCCTGCCACCACTTCATATCCAATTCTCTCCGTTATTATGTTTTAGAAATATTTCAGTAACCTAACTACCGCTGCCACGTCCACTGCTCTAACTCTGGTCGAAGCCACCACCATCACTCCCCCTGGGTCATCGCATTGGCTTTCTTAGCAGGTTGTCCTACTTTGATTCTTGCCCTTACAATCTTTGTTCTTAAAAATGGCAGCCAGAACAATCCTTTTAAAAGATAAATCAAACCATGTTGACCTTTATTTCAAATCCTTGCAATGGCACTCTGTTGCACTCAAAGTAAGGGTCTAATGCCTTACAATGACCTATGCAATCTGGCTCTACTGACCTTTCACTCTTCTTTCCCATTCCTTCTGTGATGTAGTATACTGGCCCCCTTGCTGGTTCTAGACATCCCCAGGCATGTCATCATCTCCAATCCTATGTTACTTTCTGTTCTCTCTTTCTGGATTACTCACTCCCCAGAAAGCCACAAGGTTCACTCCCACACTATCTTCAGACCTCTGCTCAAGAATCACTTTGTCAGGGAGTGTTTCTGACCAACATATTTACAATGGCAACACTGCCCTTCAGCATTCTCTCCCTCCCTATCTCCTGCCTTGCTTTATTTATTTATTTATATTTGATGTCACTTAGCACCTTCTAAGATACTCTACAGTATGCTAGTTTACTGCTGTAATTTTATTCTAGACTATATGCTTCATTAAGGCTGGGATTTTTATGCATTTTGTTCACTGATGTCTATATCCTCAGTGCTAAGCACAGTATGTACTGGATATACATGCTTTTCGTAAGTGAATGAATAATATGATTGCCATTATACTATATATGTTATGTTGACATGATTTTTACAACTTAGTAATACCTGAGAAAGTTCTTATTTTGTTAGGTATCTGACCTCTGATAGCATGATTGTTTCTGGTACAATAATATTCCATTTCAATAATATTAATATTCCATAATTTATTAGCTCCCTATTACTGGATATGTACATAACTTCAATTATTAACTAATATAAAGACTACTACCTACATAAATATCCACCTACATAAATATTTGTACAACCTTCAGATTATTATCTTAGCATTACTTTTCTGCAAGAGGTAAATTTGAACCAAAGCATATGCTGATTCTACAGATTTAGATATATATTCCCAAATTAACCTCTGGAGAGTTAGCATTCATTTTCTCAACCACCGCAGTTACAAAAGTACCCTTTTCCCAGCACACTGAGCCACACTTTATATTGTTATTAAATTCTTGTCAACTTGATCCACACAATGCATATAATAAGTTTTTTTAAATAAACTTTTTATTTCAAAATAACTTTAGATTTATAAAAATTGCAAAGACAGAAGAGTCTTCCTTATTTTTAACATCTTATATAATCTTTGTACATTTCTCAAAACAGAGATATTAATATCAATATGTTACTACTAACTCCATCTAATAATGTTTTGATTTGCCGTTTTTCTTAGTTGAATATCTCTCTCCTCATTTGTCATTTGCATGTCTTCTTTCATGAGATGCGCTTGTATATTGCATTCCAGGATTTTTATTGTATAATGCATTTTTGATGAATTAATATAGTCTGTTTTATATATGGTACACAGATCTCTGGAAGGAAGCAATAATTTATACCCACATGTCTTAAAATATCTCTCATATTATTGATAATTTTTCTAAAATTAGTAGACATTATGCCACAAAATAATTGCATTATCATAAATATTTGAGTTAACATTGATATAGAAAACAGGACAAACATGACTTTTTAACCAAGATTAATTAAATTCAAGTTATTTATTGATTTATTAGTTAAGCCTCTCTACTGCAAGTGACAAAAAGTCTAACTCAACTTCCTTAACTGTCAATGGTAATGAATTAATGTGATGGGATAAGTCCCAAGGTAAGGTAGTTAAGTTCAGGAATCCAAAGTTGTCCTTAAGCTTTGACAACTCTACGTTTCTCAGCTCTGTATGTTGACTTCATTTATCAGAATCTTCAGGATGGTAAAAACAGCTTCTAGTAAAAATCGCATGGGTCATGTATTTGTCTAGGAATCAATCACAGTGACACAAGGAATAAGCTATGATGATTGGCCTTTTCCAGAGGCAAGTGTCCACTCTCTCAGACAGATGGAATCTCATGTACTGAGATTGGTAGAAAGTATATCTCTGAATTAAAATTGTGAACCATTACTGGAGTAAGTTAGGCACACGATGGAGGCAAACAATAAATATCTAGTATTGTTAGATTTCACACATGATTGTTAAGAAATCCATTTTAATGTCGTATGAAGCCATACAGTATTCCACAACTGATCTGAGCACTGCTTCCAATTACCTGTGAAATAAATAGAATAAATCTTTTTACCTTATTTTTTCCTATGGGGAAGTCAGCCCTATGATATCCAGTTAATTGGTGCTAAAAGCTTGTTCTTAACTTTATTCACTGATCATTCTTTCCATCTGTAACAGAAAATTTAACACTCAACATCAGTTTTTATAGTGATCCACCAGCCACTATGCCAATTATTAATGCCCTTTGTTCAAATGTTCTAATGACCCACTGTCCACAGTACATTTCACAAACACATTGGAAAATTTTTGAGGCTTTCACCAAAAGGTTGTCCGCTGTTACCCAATGAACTATTGCTTAGATCTCCTACTGTGAATCTTCTGGTCTTTCTTTTGTTTTGCTATATACCTACACTGTTGTCAAGGATACCCAGCTCTCCACTCTCTTGTTTGAACAGTCCACAAGGTGTTCTATTAAAAGTCCCAATTAAATGTGTACAGCCATTCACCTGTACATTCATCCCTTTACTCCCTTGCCCACCCACATACAACCAACTACGTGATCTAAAAAATACCAACAGGTCAAAAGTCATCAAGCGAATGAACAAAATACTTGGAATCTCTAGGTGTCACATAATAGCCATGGCAATATTATCTCGGATAATTGCTGCCCTAACAAAGCAGAATAAACTCAGATTGAAAAGATGTAAATAAAAGGAGAGCAATGGAAAGAGGAACGCTTTTTCAATTTTATAACTATTGCATTATTAGTATTTTAAAGGTTAAAAGAGTTTCTTCAATGTAAAACTTATTGCTCTATGTTGAGCAAGAGAGAAGTTGTTGAGATAAGCAGAAAAGCATTTATATCATATAAAGTTATAGAAATAGTTGGAATTTAAATTACATTACATACTTAGTAAATGTCTGTTTTTATAGAGGTACTTCTTAATTTATGAGGCAGTATAGGGTAGTGGTTAAGGGCACAGGCTTTGGACTAAGAGAGATATTATCATTCTCATCATTCCTGCTTGCTACTTGAATGTCCTTGAGGAGGGCATAACCCTATTTGGGACTCAGTTTCATGGTCTATACAATGACATTATTAAAATTATTAATAATAGCACCTATGCCATGGCATCTGGCAAGGATACAATAAGATAATGCATGCGATGGGCTGAGTACAGACTTTCCACGAAGAATCAATGGATGTTAGCATTCATTAAATAATACACAATGTTATTAAGGAGGTTGTGAGCAAACAATTTCTTTTATATTTAGGCTTCTGTAGTTTTATAGAATTTATATGGCTATTTTATAGAATTTACATGGCTATTTATAAAATTTATATGGCAATTTTTAATACTTTGTACAATGCTTTACATATTTCCATTGTGCTATGCCTGGTGCCATGCAAGAGTAAAACAAAAAGGCATTCAAAAAACCTGGGGACACAACCTATAGAAGAGCAGGCTCAATGGTGACATGGTGGTGGCCAATGTGAGGAAGAGGTTACATGTATCTTGTGCCATGATAGGGAATAGAAATAGATGTGTGAATGGAATGTTCAGGAAGGCAGATTTTGATTGATTATAAAAAGGAATGGCTCACCCTGAAATTCAGAACCAGTCTACAATGCTAAGGTATACTGCTGGACAAAATCAGCTACTTTAAGGATTTCCAAGCAGAAGCTTGGCAAAATGTCAGCCAGGAAATCATAGAGGAGATGCATTTGAAGAATAGAGTTTGAGCATGGATTAGGTAAGGTAATTGTTAGGAACCCTTCCTGCTGTGGGATTCTGTGATTCTTATTCATAAATAAAAGTTAGATTTTTTTACCCTGATAGGTTCATATTCATTGAATCATTCATTCAAGAAACCTTTGGTGGCCCACACGTGTAATCCAGCACTTTAGAAGGCCAAAGCAGAAGGATTCCTTGAGCCCAGGAGTTCAAGGATGCGGTAAGCTATGATCTTGCCACTGTACTCCAGCCTGGGTGAGAGAGTAAGACCCTGTCTCTAAAAAGAAAAGAAAAAAAAGAACAGAAACCTTTATTGGCACAATGAGAAACACCATCAGGCCATATTTATTATGAGCATGGACCATGGAGCTTAATATGCCTGAGTTCATCCCTGGCCTTAGCATTTAATTTATTGTGATGTTATGCAAATGACTAAATTTCTCTGAAGGCTTCATTGATTCATATAAAAATGGAAGTAGTCATAGTTTTGGCTCATAGAATTTTTGTGGGTATCAAATAAAACATAGAATTGAATAACCATAGCCCCATTATTGGCATCAAGTAAGCACTCAATAAATATTTGCTATGATTACTATTAACAGTGAATGAATGAAAGTACTGAGATATGGAGGATTGAAGGTGAATTACATGATATCTTAGTTCATAAGAATTTAGTCAGTGAGAAAGTACTGAACATCCGTATCTAGAATCCAAGGTAGGAGATAATATATACACACGTTTCTGTAGGGGTCCACTCATTTATTCGGCATATATGTTCATATATCTATAACAGGAAAGAAGGAGTATTTGGCTTCAGGGAGTTGACGTGATGTTGTGTTGGAAAAAGGAATGGCAAACAAACACATAAACAATATAAAATAGGGTGGTAGGCATAAAGAGTGGCATGGGTGTAGCATGTGCGGTCAGGACCCACCTGGCTAAGGGGATGATATGATCGTATACTTGGGTGATGAAAAGAAATTTAGAGGGAGGAAAGACAATTTCCAGATGGAATCATTAAGGTAGCCCTCATGGGGAAAAATAATATTAGAGTTGATTCTTGAAGGATGGGTAGAATTTAATGATCCATCCGTTACTCAATTCACTTAGCTAGTACTTAAGGAGTATGTGACAGCCAGTGGAAACAGTACTGGAAATGCAAGAGAGCATTCTCATGTGGAACTTCAGATGGAGAACACAAGATGACCGCTATCACCATCAAATGGAAGACAGCAACAATAGTAACAAAGATAATAAGCACACTTCTTGCAGAAGATATAACAATTAACTGATAGAAGAAAAGGTGTAAAAAAAAACTTACCTAAAGGGTTGAAAGGTTTAAAATTTCTAGCTTGAGGACAAAGAACTTTGTCAGTAGACAATAGGGAGTTGCTAAAAGGTCTTTTGAGCAAGGAGGTAATATAATCAAATGTTTAAAAAGTCAACCCAAGGGCAGTTAGAAAACTGTTTCAATACTTATGCGTGATATTATAGAATTGCTTGCTCATTCGTCCATTCACTCATTCATTCATTCGACAATCACTGATCCTATGTGTCCAGTCCAATGCAAGAAGATTAGTAGGAGAAATAGGAAAAAAAGAGTTACATATACAATCAAGTATGAAACAAACATGTTTGAAGCCACCACATGAAAAGGACTATAATTTCAAGTGAAGTAAAAGTTTAAAGAAATAGCTGTAAATGTGTTTTCTCTATCCTTTGTTAGAAAAATAGAATATTCTTTTTAAAAATCCAATTATGCCATTTTTCTAACTGTCTACCTTAGTCTGTTATGAGCAAGACTTGAAGTTGGACTGAACAGATGACCCCAGATAAAAACACTAGGATAAGAAAAACCTAATATATTCAACCAACTGCAATAATTCATATTTTTAAGATTTCATTTAGACTATTATGAATAATTTTAATATACGGCCTCTAAAATTTATGAACTGTAGTTAGATGGCATTTTCAATTCACAAAGGCAAATGAATGTATTTAGATGATATACAATCTTTCTAATGGTGGAACTTTTTAATATAAAGTTTTTATTGTAATAATTTAAAATGAACACCACACACATTTGTGGAGAAGGCCTCAAGATCAAAATTTGCAAATGCCACCATCGGTTTTGTAACCTAATGCAAACTTGTAGTTAAATAAACTAGTAAGAAATCATACTGTTTCCTTTTAAGACCCAAAGTAATGTAAAGTTCCTTTAATGTTTTTTTTGTTTTGTTTTTTGTTTTTTTTTTTTGCATATTGAGACTATAGACAACCAGAATTAATACAAACATGGACACAAATTTGGCAACAGCAAAATGGGAATTATGCTTGAAAATTCTTTGGGGCTGTTTCCTCAGCCTACAGTGGCAACCCCTTCTTCAACATAGTCTCCAGTCAAAAGATCACAAGGGTTGAACAAGAGTAGTGAGGTGTCTTTTATGACCCAACCTCCAGCCCAGCCATGAATAATTACAGCAGGAGCAAGATACATGATCCAAGCTGGATTTTGCAAATTCTAGCAGATTTTCTTCTGCAAATGTGGGTAATGGGCATTGGGAAATAATGCATATTAAGGAAGTGCCGAATAATTGCTGGCAATATACTATAGTGGTGTCTTGATTTCTGTGATTTCTGAGATCCGGATTGTTCTTCTCTTGTGTGGATTTTTTTAGAGGACCAGTATCTCTGCAGTAAAATTTGTCTTGTTCAGGTTAATTTTAATTAGCGTTCATGGTGTGCTACCTAAAAACAAAAGAAAACAAAAAGACTTTAATCTGAACAGTCATTTTACAATTGCAGTCAATAAAGGTTTAAATGTTTTAAATTACTCTAACATTATATAGTCAGTATAAAATATTTTGCAGCTCAAGAAATTATGTCATTGGTTAAAAACTGATTCTCATGACTTTGAAGCCACACTTAATTTTATGGTGATTTTAAGATGTTGCAAAGTATTACAGATTCTCTCATGCTTTCCTCTACCATATACAAAACCAGAATGAAGAAAATTCCTAGTGCAAGCAAAGGAAAGGCAGCCACAAATATATATGATCTTGAACTCTAAATCAATTGGAATAGATTTTAAAACAGAACTAGGACAATCCTTTTAGAAATGAAGTTAGGGCAGAAAATGGTACTTCCAGGGTAGTGTTGTAATTTGGATGTGATTCATTTCAGTCCATTGCTTGAATTATTCGCAAAATTTTCCTTCCTCATTTAGTTCCCCGAACTTTTCAAGGATATGTTTATCAGCAGCAGGAAGAAATGCCTGGTAGCTTTAGAAGATTGCCCTGTCTCTTTGCATTACTTCTTTCAACTCTGATGTTTACTTCGATTTTTAAAATGACACTGAGAGGATCTGTAGGTTCGGATGGATTTTGTTAAGAGAAACTCAATGTCACAGAGACTAAAACTCCTCCTGAACAACAACAATCAGTTAGTAATCCTTTTCTCTTTCTCCATTACATGTCCTCCTTTTATTTGTTGTTGTTTCTTGCTTTAGTGGTACATATTAAAAATTAATGGCTGTTACATGATTTTAGAAGGGTATCCACTTTTCTTTTATTAGCAGGTGTAATTCATGAAAAGTATACTGCAGAAACCTCCATTACAATGCCGCTTTCTGATAGAATTCAATTGAGAGATGTTATTGCTATTTATTAATTGCTCGGTCTGCACTGTCATGGTTGATGATGTTAGCACAGACCCTCCATTGAGTTACATTCTTGTATTCAATTAGGGATGTGTATTATTGTACATGTTAACACTGTAGAACCGGGGATGCTAGCCATCTGTAGATTTGATTTTTTTTCCCTTCATAGTCCTCAAAAATGGAGCATTTTACATCAGCACTGCTAGAGAGACTTACAAAATAAAATAAGCACATAAGCACATCAGTTGCAGGTTTAAAAACAAGGACAGTGTAAAATTTAAATTTGAAGATTCTATCAAAAGTATTTGCATAATTAGAATCACTAGACATTTTCATTTTAATCATTCTAGGTGGTCGCATATCTGAAGAAGAGTAAGATCAGAAATGGTACTGGTTTATCCTGTCAGAATGTTTTTCTCTGGCTAAATGGAGGACCATGTTATGATATTAAAAGATCAGAGTGACTAAGATAATAAAACCAAGTGTGCTAAAACTTCCCCAGGTGAAGAAGATGCGTGAATTGCAAACCAGTCCTAACAGGACATTTAGGAGGGGAAGAATGCTACCTGCTCCTCACTTTCTTCCCTCCTGGTACCAAATAACTGCTGATACTTCCAATATAGAGCAACTTTTCAGAATAAAGAAACAGAACAGGAAAGCTAGCTGGCTGGCAGCAGCGTTTAATTTCTCAGACTCTTTTCATGAATTATTCTAAAAAGATGTTCTCTGACAACATAGATCCTTTCTAAGGTACCTCAATAATGCATTGCCGTGGCAGCGCAATCATTTACCTTTGATGACTCGACATTCACCCTGGTCAGTTTTGTCACTTAATGTCAATGTGGATTGAAGATCTGCTTTTGAACAATCATGGCCTTCTGTTTGAAAACAGGAGGCATACACCCCATTGCTCTGGCCAAATTCCAGGTTAGGTAATAACATTCTGTTACCTAAAGACCCCCCGCAGTTTCAATTAGAAAAAATCGTTGTGCCTTACTCCTCTACCTGTGGAGCTATATAAGGGTAGGTATCGCACTGCTAAACAGCAAACTTGTTTCACCCCAGAAGGAACTGCCCTTTATCATCATCCTTAATTAATATTTATTGGGTACCCATAGGGTGAATGACTTGGGAAAAGGCGACTTAGTAATTAAATGTTTCCGAATGCCGGTTGTCCCCTCCGAGAATGAACGTGGAGGACCAAAGTTTGAACAGTCTATTCATTATCACAGAAATAGCATCTATCCTTGTAATATGGTACTTCCTCGCTCGCTTCTGATATCTATCCATCTGGTACACCTCTAATCAAAACTATTTTTCACATCATTGGATCCTAATCGCCTCAGAATTATGTCGAGAAGCTCTTTGTGGGGACTGACCAAAGAGTATGAGTTGGCCTCTTGGCTCTGACCAGTTGCAAATTACAAATATCTACTCTTCTGCAGGGCAGGGAGGGGGTGAGTTTGTTGTCCTAATGAGCAGCATGCTTTTAATGTTGAAAGAAGACCTCTGTGTTTCTAGGATTACATTGTCGTCTGTGCCATCTGCTCTTCTTTTTTGCTATCTAGCTCTGTTCACAGGATGCAGAGGCGCCGGGAACTCTTAGAAAGAATTGGGTTTAGTGTTTCCTTTCTCTGCTCTCCAGACATTGTCTTGATTTGTAGACTGATTGGAGACCTGTCTAGTGAATGAATTCTTACGTCAATGATCATGCTTCCTTCTTGCCCTGTGCCTACTATGCTCAGATTCTCAGGATTTAATATTTTCTGACATAACTTCCAAGAAGGTATGACATTGCCAGGGGAAGTAAATATTTCAGGGATGACCCTGCTCAACCAAAAAGGTCTCATCCCTCTACTTGAGGCATCGACCCTGACCCTCTGGTCTAAACGTTTTGTTCTGCACAGGTGTACATTCACACATCCTGGGCACAGATGCCAGCAGATACAGGAGATAAACAAAACAGTTTCTCCTTGAGCTTGCACTCCAGCACTGAACAGAGAGCCCCCACCCCGTGCGGCATCACACAAGATGCATCCTTTTGGCTCTCTCAAGGATGATGACAAAACATGAATTAAGAAAAAAAAATACACTTTTCATGCTTATTTTTAAAATTTTATTTCAAATTTTCAAATGTCTCACCACTTTCCTCTTTTTTATTTCAGGAGAGGATGATGCGTGTGGGAGCGGATTACTGAGATGATGACGATATTCTCTGTATAGGGGAATTATCTTATAAAAACATGTACAATTGCTTGTATTTTGTTACAGAACCAAGGTTAAGAACTGCATTTACAATGGTTGTGATAAGATTTAGCATTTAAAAAAATTGTAACATATACCAAAATATGCCATAGCTACTAGAATCTAGTGACGTTGTTTCCATGTGCTTTTTCTTGCACTCTCTTCCTTCCCTCAGTTGAGCTCATCCCCTTTCACACCTAGCTTCATCCCAATGCAACTTCTGGTCCCTTCCTCTGTGTCCCGTGGGACCTTTTTCTACTGCTGTGATATGTCCTTGTATTCTTAGCATTCTCTTAGAAAGTATCCTTTATTGCCCCACCATAAAGGACTTTTTCCATGTACTGTATCAGGTATCCTTCCAAGGTTGCAAGCAGCGTAGAAAACTCTGGAGAAGTTGAGCAAAGGGGAACTTAGTGGAAGGAGAGTGGGAGCTCAGAGAATCACTAGGCAGGCTATAGCACCAGTGCTAAAAATGGGCATGGGGAATGTTTCCCAAAAAAAGTCCTTCTGTTTTAGAGATGCATACTGAAATATTTATGACTAAAATGATGCTTTTTCTAGAAGTTGCTCCATTGTAGGGTGGGGGTAGATAGGATTATAAAAGAAACCAGAATAGTCATGAGTTGATGAGTTTTGTAGCTGGATGATGGGTACATTTGAGTTCATTTTCTGTCCTCACTAATTTGGGGCATGTTTAAAATTCCCATGGAAGAAGACAATCAGAATTAAAAGATGTATCCAAGGCTGGTTGTCCTGAGAGCTACCCACTATTGTACATTAACAGAGATGGATGTCGTGACTCTCCCATAGATATGAAATGCATGCTAAGGTAGACACACTTGGTTCATAGGTATTTGCTCCGCTTTGATTCAGTCAAGGGGTCTGTGTGTGTTAGTGTATGTGAGGGAGTGTGTGTGTGTGTGTGCATGTGTATGTGAGGGTGTATGTGTGTGTGTGCATGTGTATGTGAGGGTATATGTGTGTGTGTGTATATGTGTATGTGAGGGTGTATATGTGTGTGTGTGTATGTGTATGTGAGGGTGTGTGTGTGTATGTACGTGTATGTGAGGGTGTGTGTGTGTATGTGTATGTGAGGGTGTATGTGTGTGTGTATGTGTATGTGAGGGTGTGTGTGTGTGTGTTTGTACATATATATGAGGGTGTGTGTGTGTGTGAGTGTGTGTGTTCTACAAGATGTGGGTGTAAATATATGAATGCCTGCATTCTGAATTGTGTGTATGTGTGTGGGTATAGGAGTGTGTGTGACTGTGAGTGTGAAATAGATCTGCCAGTGTGCAAAGCCTGAGAGCAGACGTGGCAGAGTTGAAGGGCCTTTGTTGTCTGTAGCAGGTCCATCTTGTATTTAGTTGACAACTGTTCTGTCTGATAATTCCTGCAGCCTTTGAAGTTTCCATCCAGTGAATATAACCCTAAAATATGAATGTCCTTTTCCCCAAACCAAGTATGCTTCATTATTATGAAGGCATGATCTGTATGCTGTCACTCAGTGCAGTATAACTTAAAAACATAATCTGCAGTGTAGCTAATTGTCAATAAATTTTCTCCATTATATCTCAAAATTTTTAAAAAAATAAAAAGAAATGGATAGGAACCAAGGTGACCTAGATTATTAGGAAGCAGAAAAGGGAGAAAATCGTGAGATGGTGAAGAACTGCCTGATAAGGGAGCTGCAGGTAAAATGAGCAATTACCTTATTTTCATCTCTATCACTGGACTGAAGTCCCAATTCCAGGTAGGCAGTGTGTGATGGAATGAGCTTGCTTTTCTGCCTGGTTTCTAGCTGTATCTAGAAGATGACAGGAACGTTCTGGAAGAAAATGGGATCCTCCAAAGGTGTGATGAGGTGCAATAGGTGTTTGAATTCACCAGGGCCAAGGACTTTGGGTCTAGGGAAGAGAGGTAGTTCCTCAAAGGGAAATTAGCAAGCTGTTTGGAGAGGGAAGAACAATACCGGTGGCCCCCAGTACTAAATGTCCTCCTTAGTTTGACTCCAAGACTCACAACTGCTCATTTTTCTCTTTAGCTTTAAAATCTTTAGTAAGATTTTAAAGAACAAATTTGAGACTCCTTTAGTGTGATAACCAAGTGTGGGCCTTCAGGAACAGCCCCAATTTATGTTTCTTGTTTTCCTCTGGCCTTTTTAGTCCACTTGCAGGCTACAAATACCAGTCACACAAATACTTTCTTTCTTGAAACATGCTGCTTTCTTCCATTCGCAGATGCCTTGGTTCAAGATTCTCCTTCTACCTGAACTTCCTTTGATTTTCTTTTTTGCGTTACAGGTATTTACTTGTTCCTCTCAATCCAAATCACATGGCCTGTGTTCCCATTACACTGCATTTCCATGGGCTGGCCTTGCCAATGGTGTTATGGTCAGTGAGGGCATGGCCCTCTCTTCAGGTTACAGGGTGGGGCACTTGAAAACAGGAAGCATGTCCTTCACCTTTATATCTTCTCTACCGTGGCAACCAGCACCATATATATCAAGTAGAAGGCACCCAACAAGACACATATTTTGAGTGACCCTTTCATGCTTTGGTGACTTGTTTATGTTGATTGTAATGTTGGCAGAGATGCATTCACAATGTTGCCTCAATCTACATCTTATTAGTGATGGATCTGTACTGACTTCTCCCTCCCTGTCCCCATTCCCCAAATCCTTCTTTTATCTCCTTGTTTCTCCCAAACTCTGCCACTTTTCACATTACCCACTGAACCATCAGGAGCAATAGTAAGGACTCTCTAGTTGCCCTGAATCAGGTTGAGAAAGTGTGAGGACTTGTTACCTCAATTGGTCCCTGAATCTTTAGTTAGAAGATTTGGAGACACTGTAGGTAGTTGTACTTTGCCATACCCTCTACCTTATTTTTTGGTGGCAGTCTTAGAAATTAACATTTATTGAAGTAATCAATTATTGCAACAGAAGCACAAGTAAAAGAGGGGGTGGTAGGTAAAGTAGAAATATATCAAGAGAAAACTAACTTTTGCTATTATTTGTATAATTGCCACAACCCTAAAAAGAAACTATTTTTCTAAATTTAACATTTGAAAAAGATAGTGGGAAACTTGGAAGTAAAAATGAAAAATAACAAAAAAAAAAAGGTACTAGGTCATGTTGCTTGCTCTAGATAGTTTTGGCATGGCTAAGATGTGCTAGAAATATTTCATTTTGACATGAACTCTGACCACTTTTCACTTGTAATATCGCCAGCATACATATATTTACTCAAGACGGGATAGAGTTTGTGATAACAATAGTGGGATGCACTGTGGCCATATTAAGGATTCAACTCACTTATTTGAGCTGAGTGCATGGGCAGCCTGTAGTGAATGAACTTGAGTGACCTATTTCTTCTTTTTTGTTTAAGAATTAGGACTATAAGCAGCCAAATTATGAATCAGGAACTAATAGAATGAATAGATGCAAGAAAACAGCATGCAACAATTTAATGAAAGAGAAATGTATTATATATGCTCAAGAAACAAGTAAAATGCCACTTTTAGATTACAGTTTTTCCAATCTGTTTATTTGCCTCATTTTCTTTAACTGCTATTTCACTCAACTACAACTTTTAATATTCATTGGGTAAACAATATAGAAAAGCTTGGTTATTTCAAATCTGTGTTGAGCTCCTTCTAACTTATTTTTATATTTCACCATCTATAATGGAGTATTTACTTATAATAGGACACTACATTTTGCATGGATAAGTTATTTCTCTTCTTTCTAAGGTGTCTAAGAATATCAGGTTAGAAAGACATACTGGTTAAATGGTTGATTTTAGTCAAAATCACTGCAGCCCCTTTGGGATCTACTGTTTTTACAAAGTGTGGTCCTGGGATAATTGTGTCAGTTTCAGGTGGGGATTCATGCTGAAAATGCATATTCCTGTGTCAATTCTAAAGCCAAATATATAAAAATGTCTGCTAATTTTAACAACCTTCCAGAATCTGTATACACCAGCTTTTGAGAACTGCTCAACTGCAACTTCCGTCTCCTGGGTTCAAGCAATCCTCCTGTCTCAGCTTCCCAGGTAGCTGCGACTACAGGCGCACGCCACCATGCCTGGCTAATTTTTGTATTTTTAGTAAATGGAGTTTCACATATTGGTCAGGCTGGTCTCAAACTCTTGACCTCAGGTGATCCACCCGACTCGGCCTCCTAAAGTGCTGGGATTACGGGCATGAGCCACCACGCCTGGCCCATATTGTTATTTTTTACTAATCAAAGTAATACATTTTATTGTGCAAAATTTGGAAATACAGTAAGCAATTGAGTTAAAAATAATTCACTATCCCACAATGCAAAATCTTTACAATCATTATATATTTTTTTAAATTGGAAGCACATAAAGAAAAGCCATTAATATTATGCTGTATATACACTCTCCTTTTTCTCACTTAACAAATCTAATGCTTAACTTAGACAGTGCATTTGTAGAAATGCAGTGTTTGGAAAGGAGGAGGATAAAAAATGGTACGGGAGAGTGCAGAGAAAAGAAGAGAGGAAGAAAAGGAAGGAAGAGAAAGGAGATGAGGGTGATGATGGCAATGTGAAAGTTAATCTAAATGTATGTGTCAGAATAATGTCTTCCTTTTTTTTTTTTGGTGGTTGGAAATAAATAACTTTAAAAACTCTATAATGAATTATCTGAGGCACCAGAATCTCACTGTTAAAAAACAGATATTGGCTGGGAACGCTGGCTCATGCCTGTAATCCCAGCACTTTCAGAGAATGAGGCAGGTGGATTGCTTGAGCCCAGGAGTTCCAGACCAGTCTGGGTAACACGGCAGAAACCCATTTCTACAAAAAATACAAAAATTAGCCAGGCCCAGTGGCCCATGCCTGTAGTCCAAGCTATTTGGAAGGCTGAAGTGGGAGGATCACTTGAGCCCAGGAGGCAGAGGTTGCAGTGAGCTGAGATCATGCCACTGTACTCCAGCCTGGGCGACAGAGTCTCACTCTGTCTCAAAAACTAAAACAAATAAATTTAAAAATAAAAGCCAGATGTATCTGATGTTTGACAACTTCTTTCCATTAGAGTTGGGAACAGATCACTGGAAAAATGGGGACAGTCAGTTTGATCACAGGATTTGGTTTACCGCTTGGATTCATTTTACATTTTTTTAAGCAAAATTAACTTGGGAACTTCTTTATATAACTTATTTTTTGCGTGCCTAATATGGAACAGATGCAGTTTTTGTCCAATGGAAGTGATACTTGAGCTCGTCTAATGAAAATTGTTAAAGTGCCAAGTATTCTTATTCTGTTATTAGGGTTATATTAGGCAACTGGCATTATTCATTATTTCTAACTAAAGTGAAACGTGGACCCCCATGCATGAAGATATTTATTACTTATTGATATTTAAAGGTTGTTAAATTAATCTTATTTAAATTGCTCCTACTACCAACCACTGTTACAATAATTTATTATATAATATTACTTGAGGGTTTTCTTTTACTTTAGTATAAAACTTGCAAAAGCAATGTATTGCCTGTGGATTTTTCCTACAGTTCATTGTAACTGTGACTAATTCATCACAGCTGTTTAGACATGCAAAATCTATAATACTTCACAATGTTGATTTTCTGTTTCTAAGACTAGAGCTTGATTTGAAACCATATAATGAAAAATTACATGCATCTCATTGGAAGAAATATTACTTTAACCACTGGGAGGTGGAAGACCAGGAAGAGCTGTGTGGCTCTGCAGCTGGGGATAGTGTATGTGAAATTCTGATAGCTTCACTGAACTTTGTTATGTCCCTCGACAGTATTGAGATTAGATCTGTCTTTAGTTTTGTTCCAGAAGTAATGTTACTGCTTTATTTTTCCTGTTACTCGCAAGAGGTAGTATAGAATGTCTTCCAAAATATAATTCCCCACGAAATATCTAGGGACCTGTTTTTCTTTTTGTGAGTCATTCATCACTCCTTTCTCTTCTCTTCTTTCTCCTGCTTCTCCTTCATTGCTTCCTTCTCTTTTTTTCTAAAGGACAGTATACTATTTTTGAGTTTTCGTCATTCAAAAAGCTGGGGAGAAGCACAAAAGGAAGTGGTGGTTTCCCTCTTTCTGCCTCTTATCAGATCTTATAATGGGTTAAAGAGGAAAACAAATCAGGGGTAAAGTGAGGCTTTGCGTTTATTGGCGGGGATGGATTGTATCTATTCCATTAACATGGATGATTGAACGCTGCCTCAGTACCATTGTATTTGATATTCAAACTGATGCTATCATTTTCTTAGTAATGATTGAAAGCTGCCTCGGTATCATTATGTTTGATATTCAAACCGATGTTATCATTTTCTTGGTTTGCATGTGGAAAAGACTGATGAATTATTAGTTACATCAAATCTTTAACATGTGCAAATTAGTCAAATGCAAAACATGTTTATAATATTCATGGTTATTATTCCTCCATTTATATTATTTTTTGAGGCTTCACACAAGAGCAGAAGAATGTGTGAAGGTATTAGCTGCCACTTAGTTGTTTAGAGTTTAAATATTTAAAGCACAGAGACCTTAGTAAAAAGAAGGGATTTATGTGGATACAAGGAAAAATATTGTTTTGTCCACTGAACTGTAGTTATTATATGAAAGCTAATGGAAATAGGAGAATTGAAAAATGTAGGTAAACTTGTTGTTTTAAAATACTCAATTTGTATGGAGTTTGGATATTTTATGAAGTAAACAGGAGGTGGGAGTGGTACAAACTGAGTACCTATTCATTCATTTCTTCAGAAAAATACCCATTTACTAAGGGAATATAGCAACACATAAAATAGATACAGGCTTTGCCTCCATGGAGTTAGGACAGGCAGGCATAAATTTAAAACCCACATAAGTTGTATAATTACTAGTGTGACATTGTATGAAGGAAAATGAAGGGGATGACAAGAAAATATTAAAGGGATCATAATTGTCATGACCTTGGATGAAGGAAGTCTGTCTTACGGAATTGCTATTTAAGCTTGACTGAGCATGGTGGTTCACACCTGTAATCCAAGCACTTTGAGAGGCTAAGGTAGGAAAACTGCTTGAGCCCAGGAATCTGAGGCAAGCCTGGGTAACATAGTGAGACCCCATGTTTAATTAAAAAAAAAATGTTATTTCAACTCAGGCATAAAACATTAGTAGGAATTAACCAGGAAGGAAATGAAGAGAAGAGCCTTCCAGGCACAGAAACAACAGCATGGCAGTGGTTTGCTGTGATGGAAGTACCAAAAAAATGCTAACTTTTTATATAGTACTTGCTCCATCATGTGTTTTCCATTAGCATATAGTATTTTACATGGATGTTCTAACAAAGTATTTTTAGAACCCATATGCAATAACTGAATTATTATACGGTCAGAACAATGAGAAATGTGCAAATAATTTCATGCAATTGTACCTACTCTTTCTATATGCAAACACTTTAAAGAATCTTCTAAGAAGATGGCTCTATGAATAACAGGGAGATAACTGCTTTAACTACAACTAACTTTGTGAAACTTGGTTTTCAGAGCAAACCAGGAAAAAAAGAAATCAGAAACCACATGTCAATACTTTTTAGAAAAGGAAAATAATTTGGTATCTTATCTTGCTGTTACAAATAGGCTGATGTCTGAGGTTATATTTAAAGATATTTTTAATAAATAAGACTCAGCAATCAAGTCAGATTTGATTTGCTGGCATAGAATTCATTTGATATAATGACACTTAAGGGTTGCTTGACTTCTATTCCATTTCCTGATGCCCAATCTCATTATTAAGGTAAGCAACTGTGAAAAAGGGTGACTCTTTAAAACTCTCAGTTTAACAGTTTCACTTCATTGAATTCTTGTTTAATTTCTTGTTGCCGAATATGAGTGATTGTTTTTAGTATCATTCATGAATGACACATAGAAGATTTGCTGTATAGTATCTGGAGGTATTTCTGGAAGTGGGTTTCTGGATTTGAAAATTTTCCATCATCTTGAACCTACTTTTTAAATGTGTCTAAATTAAATAAATCAATTTAATTTGTTTGTGAAAGTTCCATCTTCATTCACATAATTACCCAACAGACTTAAACAACTTTTCTAATGTAAAATGTCAGTTAATTATGAATACATATTATTAAAACCAAACAAGTAGCCAGAAGCATTTTTTTGAATTTGTAATTGGATTTCTGTATGTTTTTCTTAAGAATGCAACTATCAACTTTTATAATGGTAAACCAATTGTAATCTTGTTAAACATGCCTTGATTTCAGATAAATAGAATCGTAGCTATCTCTCAAGGAATCAAAAGAAAAAATTATTTTAAATGCAATCTTATTTTTAAACTGTATTACCCATAAGTAATTTTAGTTATTTAACTTTTTAGAGGAAGCATCTCATTAGCCGTGGGTTAGAAAATCAACTCTCTGTGGCACAATTCATTAAAAATAGGATTTCTCGTTCTTGGATAGTGTTTTGTCAATATCAAAGGCTGAAGTATTTAATGAAGTATTTAAAATGCCACGCAATCTAGCAAAGATACCTAAGATTTATATGGAAGAGTATATCTTTTATATAAAATTTCCAACTTCTAAAAAAATTAGGACACAGATTGAAGCAGTACTTTCAGAAATATCTGTCACCACCACACACCTTCAATTCGAGATGAATGTAGGCTTCACATCACTGGTCTGGGCCAAGTGACATCATGCAAATGGTGGCACTAGTGTCATGAGTAATAATGGCTTCCCCCTTCAACCCTGTCAAACTGTATCAGGTTGCTAAGCTCTAACTTTTGTTGCAGAGCTCAATGAAAACTAAAATAAAAAAATAAAACAATTACCAGGTTGCTGTGTATGGGTTAGTATAGTGATTTGCCAATAAATAACAATTACCATAGGAATTACCATGGAATGTGAATTTCTTTTTCCTCTTGTTTTGTTTTCTTTCTTTTTTCTTTTTTTAATGAAATCCATAGAGGTTCTTTCTCTGTAGATTTTATTTTTCTTTCTACTATAAAATTAGAACTTGTCACTCCACTATGGGACTCTGACAGTTAAATAATAGTTCACAAATGATTAGCGGAATGAGAAATTACTGCCCACAGAAAGAGCTCTGTGACTCAGCAGATAAAGATATACAACTCAAGTTTACCAAGGAAACCCCACTGAACATGTGGAAACGAAAGGCAGATGTAATGCTATCTATTGAAGCACCCAGCCAGTTTGTTACACGTCCCTTAATTATCAGAATAATTTTCACTTGAAACTTAAAAACAATTGGCTCACACATATTTCACTTTAAGCATTTTCAGCTTTGAAAGGGGGTTGGTGAATGACATTAAAAAAGCTCCACACACCCCCTTTTTATCCTCCATCTCCGTTTAATGGAAAAAGGATTCTGGTAATATCCAGCTATCTTGCTAGTACAGCACCAAGCACAAAGAAAGGACAGTAGGGGTGGTGATTTTAATTATCTATGTAAATTTAACTATGCGCCACAGTCCTGTGATTGAAACTCATTACTTTAACTTTATAGTTTAGTTATGAGTGTAAACCTCAGCTCAATTAAATTATAAACCAGATCCTGATGGCTCCACATATTCACAGTCTTTGAAGGAAAAACAAAAAGAATATAGACAGGACACAAGAGCATCTCAGCTATCTTTTCTATGTATGTTATCATCCCCCAAATGCCACTGTGAGGCATGCATGCAAGGTGGTGTATACTGCATTGTAACCTGTCACTGTGCAACAGAAATAAGCTAATGTTAAGAGTTATTTATCACAAATTTAAAGACAGGACAAAGTAATAGTAGAAGGGTTTTTAAAATTTTGTCTGTTTTACAGAATAGTGGTCTCATAACCCTCTCCCTCAAAATTGTGTATTAATTAGAACCTCAAGCTCAATTTTTCCCTAATATCTGACATATCTTTTAATATACATTTTTTGAGACAGAGTCTCATTCTGTCGCTCAGCTGGAGTGCAATGGCGTGATCACAGCTCACTGCAACCTCTGCTCCCGGGTTCAAGTGATTCTCCTGCCTCAGCCTCCCAAGTAGCTGGGATTACAGACATGTGCCACCACGCCCGGCTAATTTTGTATTTTTAGTAGACACAGGGTTTCACCATGTTGGCCAGGCTGGTCTCAAACTCCCGACCTCAGGTGATCCACCCACCTCAGCCTCCAAAAGTACTGGGATTGTAGGTGTGAGCCACCCCACCCAGCGATCTTTTAATATTTTAGCGTGTGCTATTTCTCATTGTGACAAATAAAAGTCATTCTTCTTGTCTATATTTTTGTTACCTCAGGGGATTATCCATAACTGTCAGATTGTGTAAGCTCCATTGACTGTAGACTAATTGTCCTTACATTAAATATATTAAAATTTCTAATTGTGGTGAGAAGCAATGCTGCATTTCCCCTTGAGTCACTGTTGAATCAGTTTCCTCACATGGGAGATTTATTTAGAGATAGTTTTGCTTCACTTGAAATAATTGAGGACATTCAAAATGCCAAAGTTATTGGATTAACTTGAAAAGTTGCGTTTGCTCTACAGATTTATTTCAAGTACAAATTTTAAGGTAGGTGCCTTTAATCGACACTTAATTAATGCGTTTACTTTTGTTCGATTATTTCTTGGAATTATATTTCTTACCTCAGTTGTGATATTTTTATTTGTACCAATGACACACTCAGGAATCTAATAATTTGAGGTTTAATGGGTAATTAAAGCCACTAGACTTCTCTAGAAGAGGTCATTATTATTAGCGATAATAGTAATAAGAGCGAACATTGACTGAGCACTTACCATGTGCCAGGACCCACGCTAAGCATTTCAGAGGCATTGCCTCACATAATTTTAACAATAATGCTGTTAAGTGGAGTTATTCCCATTATTTATTATCCCTTTCTGGGCTTAGGGATGCTGAATAACCAAAGGAAGTTTAAAAGCAATTAAGTGGCATAGCCAGGTTTTGGACCTAAGTTCTTTTGACTCCCAAGCCCATATGGTGGGGATAAATTCAATGATAGAACAATATATCATAGTTAAACCTAAACTACAAGTGAGGATAACTAAAGAATGATATGTAGCTATCATCTTATGTGGCTGTCTTTCACTATCAATGTTTTATCTACTAAATTCTTAAAAGCAAATCTCCATCCGTCATATAGATTTGCATCGGGAGCCTAGCACAGCACTTGGCACAGATAGGCTCTCAATAAATATTCGTTCAATTGAATTTGACTGATGTTTGTTTTAAATATACTGAAATATAAAATGTACTGGCTTGGTTTGGAATGTGGCTGTATTCATGCAGTTAATTTACTCTCTGAAGTTTTCAAGTTAGTGACTTTCTCTTATGTCTTCTAAGTGCAACACTGTGCTTGTCACATCTCTAAAGCAATTTGCCATGCTCCCACTAAGATGAATTTTCCTGAAATAATGTCTGTGACCATTTTGGTGGCATTTTGTGATGCTACTAGTGAATTTCCAAGTTATACTGAAGCAAGCGAGCACCCATTTGTAGAGCTCACCTTATTCGCTTTGAAAATGCCATTGCTCTTGGAAGAACACTTCGAGTGAAAAGGGAAATAAGTGTGGAGGATCAGCAGTTTGTTTTATACCATAAGTGTTTCTCAGTAATTATTTTCCCGAACTGTTACTATAGAAAAAAATCAATGCTTATCAAGAAAGGAGAAAGAAAGAAGAAAAGGAAAGAAGGAAGGAAGGAAAAGAAAGAAAGGAAGGAAGGAAGGAAAGAAAGAGAAAGGAAAGGAAGAAAGAAAATGAAAGAGAGAGGAAAGAAAGAAAGTTGACATTTTAGTTGAGTTTAGTTTTTTGTTGTTGTTTGTTTGTTTGGACTGGGGAACTCCACCTATGATTATATCTACGTCACTTAAATTGCAATTGCAATACTTCTGATGTTTTGTTGTGTATGATGTGCAAAATCTTCAGTCTCACTATGTTTCCAAACACAGATATTAAATCATAGCTTTTTGTCATTTTGTGATGAGATGGATTCAAATTAAGTACACTGTGAGATAATAAAAAAAAAATAAAAGAAAGAGAGAGAAATGGATTTGGGGAAGGAGACAAGTGTGGTCCTGTTTGAACATGGCATCAATTCCTTCTTAACACCATCCCTTTCTTCTTCTACATTTTATCCTATGCCATTTATCCCACATGTATTACATACCTTCTATACATAAAGCACTGCAATAAGGAATTAGCATAAATTCAAAGATAAATAAGAATAGCTCCATGTCCTTAACTCATCACAATCTAGTAGAGAAGAGATAAAACATGCACAAAGACGACATTGATTGTCCTCCAAGGAGGACAGATAAAAGACTGGGAAATCAGAGTAAAAGAAATTGTCTTTAATTTTGGAGAGGCTCATAGGGTAAGAAAAAATTTCACTGAGAAGGTAAAACGTGAGGCCTTTAGGAAGGAGTAGAGATCAGCTGCTTCTGAAATGGAGATGCCAGGAACACAGAACATTCCTCCTCCTCCCTAGGACAGAGCCAACCTCATTCTAACCACTACCAAGCACTGATCACCCTTAATGCTTGTTTGCTACCAATTCCTACAGGATAGAAGAAATTTGCATTCTTTTGTCATACAAATAGTTGACTTAAATACAATCTTAAGGGCCCTGCAATTAACTAGGTTTGTGGCAGAGAGAAATTTACTTCTTATTGAATCTCAGTTTCCTTCTCCATGAATGAGATAAATGGACAAGAATTGTGATTACAAGCTCCAGTCAATGGTCATGACTGCCTGATATGCCTGGTAGCCTGTGCCATAAGCATTGCAAGAACAAGCCTAAGCTAAGTTGAAAGAGAGGTGATCAATTAAGTATGTCAAGGGCATAAAAATAAGGAGTGATGGTATGCTTGCCATATATTTACAACCACACATTTAGTCAGTTCAACTAAGGTGAGATTCCTCATTTTGTGTCACTAAATTACAAGGAATACCTTTATTTCCCCAAGAGAAATGAAATTTGAGGTAGAATTTCTTAGTTTAAGCTATTTGTGGAAGCAGTCTTAGAAAGTCATTGTCAGCCTTTTATAGGCAGAACACATGGATTTTAAAGCAAAGCAGAAATACTGAGCATGTGAGTTGTGTGATGTTCCGTTTTAAGGATAGTTTGAACACATAGGGAATGTCAGAATTGGATTGTGAAGCTCTAGATTTGAAAGCAGTTGAATATCAATAAGATTTGACTATTAAAAAACTCAAAAAACACCTTGAATTCATTACTGGATTGCCTAGGTAATGTAAGGAATATGACACACAGATCCATGAAAAGTATTTGAGAACAGCATATAAATTGCATGTTTTGGTGCTTGGATGTAACCAATAAGAGATCTTAGGTATAAATTGAGTAACATGCCTTAGTCACTAAAAGAATTTGGCATGGCCCACACAGCTGTTAATGGGTAACTCTGATTCTTGCTTTTTAAATTTGAGTTTCATCAGCACTATTTCAAATAGTTCATTTAAAATTAACACCCTAACACTGATGCTAAGGTGCATGACAGTGCATAATAAAACGTAATTTTCATTTTACATTATACAGATTACAATCCCTACACTCCGAGGGATGTAGTGGAATCTTTTGCTGTAATGAATTTATAGCATGGTGCTATCAGTTCCTCTGAATAAGGAAAAAAGGAATAGCATCTTTTGTATGTTTATTTTTCTTTACTGATGTTTCTTTGGCACTATGTTTAGCCTCCTAACTACACCTCTTAGGTTTGGAAGAGAACTCAGATTTATTACAAAATTATTTTTAAAATATGGCTTATCCATTGCCCACAAGTGACACAAATGTCAGAATTACCTATGGAACTCCATGGAAAGCAATTTAATTTTTCCTATGTCTGAGCCTTTTTGGTGTCTATTTTTATGAAGTAGTTTTCTTGTGTTTTTTTCCTCCTTTTATAATTTTTAAATGGATAAGTTGCAGTAGCGTTTCTTTCTTTGAAGCAGGGATGATAAGAGCAATCGCAGAGTACTTCTAGTTGTCAATGCCCTTAAATTATAATTGATTAGTACACGAATAAAGGAGTGATAGGGGATTGGATTTTGAAAGAAAATGGGACTAAGTGTAACTGGTTTGAAGATATGATTTTATTGTGGAAGAGTTGAAACACAAAGGTTTCCCCAAAGTCTCATTTTTCATAGACATGAGATAAAATCTGTAACTCTCATTCCATTGGGGTTTAGGCTATTTGTTGGCTTTAATTTAATTGGATAGAAAGCAAGGAATAATGGTTTACTTTGAGCTCTCTTTTATCTTCCTTAGTAACATGTCACTTATATGACCCAGGGACCTTCTGAGGGTTTTTGAAAAGGCCTCTTTAAAATCTGCTTGCACTTATTTGGGCACTAAAATATGTTTTATTTGGAGATGTTCAGAGGCAATAAAATATAGAATATCATTTTAATAATAGAGTAAAATTCGGTAAAAGGAAACAGTAAATACACGCTGAAACTGGAGTAACGAAGTAAAGCCTGCCTCCTAGAAGTTAAAGTGCCCGGTTTTATAATGGGCATATAAATGCCTTATGAGCCTGTTTGGTAGGAAACACTTAAATATGTAGATCCTCTGTGAAGCCTCATTACTTATGTTTCTAAATGTTTGTTTTGGCATGTGGTGCCGTCTTTGGTATACATGCCATTTGCAGGATCCGCTGGAATAGCCACTTTAGAGCAGGTGCGCTTGACAGGATGAACTGAACACACATATTATCTGCTCTAATGAAGTGCACTTATTCTTAGCCTGGGGCATAGTCAGTGATGTTCTGTGATTTCTCTATATCCATCCAGCAGAAGCTTTCCTGTTTCTCAAAATACCTCACCCTAGACATCGAGGAGCCACTTCTATGGAAGGAAAAGCAGTTTATCCTCCACTGACATCCTATTGTTAGCTGTGCTATCGAGTTGGCGAGCAGTCATCATCCTGCTGACTAAGACCCCATTCTCCTGGGTCTCACCGTGGTCAGATCAATGCTCTAATCTCTGGGAAGGAAGAATGATAAGGCATCTATGTAGGGTCTCCTCTTTAGTCTTCTTTTCTCTTAGCTGTTTCTTTCAATGCCCAGATTGCCAGTGAGTTAGGCTGCAGTGCTGAATAGATCAGAGTGTTTCACTAGAAAGCACGCAGTACAAAGTTGTTCCTGCTCTCTTCAACTCAGTGGCCCCATGACTTTGCATAGGACATTTTAACTTACAGAATCGCAATATTCCCTTTTGTTCATTGCAAAAGCTATCATTGAGTATCAATCCATGTTTACTACCTACTTTTCAAAATACTGGAAATACAAACATGCCATCCCTATTTTGCCCTTAAGGAGCCAACCATACTACAGAGAAAACACGGAAGTGAACAGCCAGTTATGAACACGGCCCCATCACCTTCCTAGAATTGTCAGGTAAATGAGACCATAAATGGGTCAGCACTTCCTAAGCTCTCTGCTGTCATATTAATTTCAGGACATGGCTATGACAGTCATGTTACTAATAGGGCTCTGCCTAGTAACCGTGTTCATCCCAGAAGAATACACAAAAATGTCTTTCATGGTTCGAAACTTGGTTAGAAATACCAGGATCCTCATAAAAATAAATGATGCCCATTGCCATTAAGTAAGAATTTGCAAGCAATTGTTAGAAAATAAGTTCTAGAGATTCCAGAGAAATGAGAGATCCCACTGGAAGCTTCCCAAGTGCTTCTTGGAAGAGGTGTAGGGCCTGAATGACTGACAGGTCAAACCTACCCAGGCAGCAAGCCAGAGGGAGGGCATTGCCTACCAAAGGAACAATATTTGCAAAGGTTGAGTGGCTCACACCTGTAATCCTAGCACTTTGGGAGGCTGAGGGGGGTGGATCACCTGAGGTCAGGAGTTCGAGACCAGCCTGACCAACATGGTGAAACCCTGTCTCTACTAAAAATACAAAAATTAGCTTGGCATGGTGGCGGGTGCCTGTAATTCCAGCTACTTGGGAGGCTGAGGCAGGAGAATCGCTTGAACCCGAGAGGCGGAGGTTGCGGTGAGCCGAGATCAAGCCATTGCACTCCAGCCTGGGTGACAGAGCGAGACTCCATCTCAAAAGCAAACAAACAAACAAAAAAAGAAATGTAAACTGCATGTATGGAAAGGAAACCTGAGCCATCAAGTTCATGAAGGTAAACACCGAAAGTGAGAGTTGTGAAGGTATTTTTGCTCCTGTCCATATGATACACAGTTCCTTTTTAATCTGATAGATAATGTCATTGGCAAATTCGCTTTGCCAATGACATTTAAGCATGAAACTTAACAACCATATAGGCTTCAGACTACATAGACATAAAAAGAATTGGAAAAGTTACAATGTTTCTACTGTCTACAGCATGTAGACTGCAAGTAGAGTATATATGTAAGTGTCTTTGCAAGGCAAATAATAAGAAAATAGTGTTTTATATTTATATGACAAAGAATCTCATAGGTTAAATACAATGTTGTTTCATCCAGAGTTTGTATAATTTTTAAATGAAAAGACACATAGTTTAGAAATGTAGATCACCTTTTCATTGCCAATGGGTTCCAATAGCCAGGGCCTATGCTAAGTCCTAGGGATACCAAAGCAGAAGACTTCAGAGCCTTGTCCTCGAAGAGCTTAATGTCAATTGAAGAAGATAGGTAGAGAAGATAGTGAATCATAGGGCAATATATATATACATATATATACATATATATGTATATATATACACATATATACGTATATATGTGTATATATATTTTGAGAGGGAGTCTTGCTCTGTTGCCCAGACTGGAGTGCAGTGGTGCCATCTTGGCTCACTGCAAGCTCCACCCTCCGGGTTCATGCCATTCTCCTGCCTCAGCCTCCTGAGTAGCTGGGACTACAGGCACCTGCCACCACGCTCATAGGGCAATATTTAGTTTAATCTATAAATATTTGGGGCAAATGAAAGTAAGTTCATTTCCAGTTTTCTTGTTAATTACACTCATTTAGCCAAAGGAAATGTTATGCATGTAAAAGTTCTGTCTATTTGATGAACTCTCTACCAGTCTTTGCTGTGAAGTAACTAAAATATTAGCCTGAGGACACAGATTTTTTTTTAGAAATTTCTTTTGACAGTGATTGCCTAAGTGCCAGAAAACATAGCAAAATGCTAGTTTTTGTATCAAAACTGTTGCGTATATAATATTCAGGAAAAATGTAAAAGGAAATATTTAGGACAATCGAATATAATCTATTTCTGTAAGACACTAGCTACCAAATTCTTACTTGTTAGTGACAGATATCATCTAATTTAAAACATGGTCTTTACTTCCAGACATTGTAAATGCTTCTGGATTGCAGCATAGATTTCATCACATGCCTAAAATCTCAAGTGTATTTTCACTTTCGTAACCTCTCTAGACATTTTAATGAAAAACAAAGAGTGGAAAAGTTAGGTTTCACAGAAGGTTTCTAAATAGAAACCTAATTAAAGAAATTAATAATCATCCTTTGATGCCATGCTCGTGTGCCTTTTTCCATCTCTAATGGAATCTCTGCACCTAGAAGAATTGTAGCTTTTGCTTGTGCTCTTGACTAGTAACTTAATGTGGCGATTAAGACACATTCTTTATATATTTGCATATATACAAAGACGTGGATGTCCTTTTAAATTATACCCACCTTCTGCCTAGGCTAATGCTATATTAAATTGCATTGAAATGCAAAAGCACCTCAATATAATGATTTTCCACATCCCATTTACTTGTTGATTATTAATGAATGCTTCCTGAGTTGTGTTCCTGCTATTTTGTCTTTAAGACTACTTTCAGGGTTTTCGCATCATATTCAAGAGGCCAGTCAGAGTTCTGTGCTTGCGGCTTCATTAAAATTCTGTCCTACACATCATCTGACTCACACTTTATAATCTATCAGAACACCTGTTTGCTTTACAATGGCCACGAGGCAGCTCAAAACACTGTGGTATTTAGCATTTAATAATGAGCACAAGATATGTATTTTTGACACTTTAAATTTTCTTTAGAAAAGTGCATGGAAAAGAGCCAAGTTTGAATGAATTATCTAAACTTTTGCAATTTCATAATGTGAATTTTAACCAACTTTTAAAAAATGTGTACGAGAAAGTGCCTTCTCTCTTTGTCAGTGAACCTTACCTTGGCTAACTAGGAAAGGCTATAGAGGGAAATAACTTTAAAATGTCACTGCATAAACTAATAGTGATATCAAAAGTATTTTAAGAAGAGTCTGTGCATTATTACTTTCCCTATTTACATACCCGTCTCACAGACACTTCATTGTAATTCTCACTCTGAGAGGAAGCTGAGAAGCTTAATGTCACTGTTAATATCTAGATATGTTTATAATTTAGTGACTTAAGTCAGTGATGGGCACTGCATACATATACATAAACGCTCTTTTCTTTAAAGTTTGGGCATTTACAAATGTGATTGTTAAATGGCCCTCAATATAATTGTATCTATTTGAAATACTTCAAGGGAGGGATAGGGAGATAATGGATGGTCTCAGAAGGGTGAAATTCCTTCACTATATTATGTAAATGAAGAAACGTCTCCTAGTGCTTATGAACTGCTATAGTTTTCAGCGCTAATAGAGGACATACTGCAAGTTGATTATTGTAATCCAACAGCGTTATCTCATCAGTGAGCGGATTAAGGGAGCTCTCTCAGCTGAGGGGTCTGAATAAGCATTTTCATTTACTCCCTGCTGGGTCATTGACAAATGGAAGTTTTTATCTGGGAACATTTAAAAGCATAAACAGTAAACAAACCTATAGTTTCTTCCCTTGCCTGGATCCTTTACCAGATTTGTGCTATCTTGCAAAGGCTGATACCATTCAACCTAGCAGTCAACTGACTTCTGTTGTGTCCCCCAAATAGAGAATTATATGCACCTGGTGATGAGGGGGGTTGATGGAGTCGAGAGAGAGTCAGATCTTCCCCGTTCAAAAGCATTCAGCAGGGGCCGGGCACCGTGGCTCATGTCTGTAATCCCAGCACTTGGGAGGCGGAGGCAGGCAGATCACTTGAGGTCAGGAGTTCAAGACCAGCCTGGCCAACATGGTGAAACCCCGTCTCTACTAAAAATACAAAAATTAGTCGGATGTTACGGCGCACACCTGTAATCCCAGCTATCACGAGGCTGAGGCAGGAGATTGTAGTGAGCCGATATGGTATCATTGCACTCCAGCCTGGGTGATAGAGCAAGACCCTGTCTCAAAAAAAAAAAAAATTAATAGTTTAAGTTCATTTGTCATCCTCTTCTATCCCTTGTTCAAATCCCTGTACTCAGCAATGACATTCACTTTCTGTCTAATGACGCCATGACAGGTGACAATAAAGCTAACTTCCCAAACCTGGATTTCCCTCTATTTCATCCCCAAATCAAAACTTACCTCTCATTTCCTTCCTTTGCATTACAAGAGATCCTTCATTCTTTGATTTGACCATAAGATTAGAGAAATTATGTTAATGACTGAAAGTAGACTAATGTCCTATCATTAGATTGAATCATATATAATTGTCATTTTTGTAAGTCAAAACAATTGAATGTTTGTAATTGTATATGGCACAATCTGAAATGTCCAGATAATGTGCACAGGTTAACCGATGTTTTAACGACAGTGACTGGAGTAGCTAACATCTGATGATCATGTGACTGTTCATACACTCTTCTCAATACTGCATGCATGTTCCTGGCAGTATCATTTAATCATCAGTCCTATTAACAACATGAAAACTGAGACTGAGTTATCAGTCCGGAGTCACATCATGACAGTGAAAGTGCCAGATCAGTACTAGGCTAGAATTTTTATGACTTTAAAGATCATTTTCTTCTTTGTCTCCAAAAAGGCCCAAGTGTTGAATGGTGTGCTTGATTCAGCTGGGGCCAGTGGCAGGATCTTTTGGGAGGATGGGGGTACAGAGGCTTCTTGGGCCTTGAGAATCTTATGTGTAGGCAGTATCCATAATGACTGTGTTTAGATTCAGTCTTGGAGAAGAGAAGTCATATGACCTACTATGGTGACTTACTTCTTGTAAGTTTTATGCAGCGATGTTCCTGTAGAGAGAGCATGAAGAGAACAAAGCCTTACCTAGTCCATATCCTTTCCTCTTTTAGTGCAAGGCTTGAATCCATAATGTTTACCCCTTTACTACAGACCATAGTAATTTCTCTGTTCTGACATCTAACACTCTGTAACAAACAAACAAATTTTCATTACATTTTATCCTGTATGGTTGTCTCATGGAGTCATATGCTTAAATATTATCTTCTTATCCAGGTTAGAACTTTTTCCAAGACAGAAATCATCAATATCTTGTCTTTATTTCACATTTTCTACAGGATTTATCCCAACACTGAGCACATAACAGGTCACTAAATGTGTGTCGACCGGTTGATCAATTAAGGTCTTTGATTCTAAATTTTACTTCCACATCTACCATTGATCCCTTTATATAGTAGGAATATTAAGGGTACTAAACACAAAACAAGTTCTTTCTCAGACATTGAATTATTAAACTAATGGCATTGGTGCTTATGCCAAAACCATGCACTTTAAAAAATAAGGATTCTAGATCTGTAGTACACATTTATTATGTATTGGAGCCAATAAGTCAACAGCTGAAATGGTTATACCTGTATTACTTTCAAAAGAAAGGAAAAAATTAAGGGGCTCAGAGATCAGTGTTTCATTTTGTATACCTCTAACTAAAGCATGAAATTATAGTTCGCTAAGAGAAGGCTATGGAGATTCTGAAAAATGTAACCACTTTGGCTAGATGTCAAAATTGAATTCATTATTTCTTAGAAATGATTTTAGACCTACAATTCACAATCAAATTGTGATTGTTTTTTAAACACACACAAACATCTCTACACACACAGTCAGTTCGGATTTATATTGGCACTCCAAGAACCGATGTCAAACTAAATTTTAAGTGAATGTTAGTTGTAACTCTGATACATGTTTACAAGACAAATCATTTCAGATGTAGCAAATGAATACTTTAAGATGTATTTGAAAATACCGAAAACATTCTAAAACTGAAGAATCATGTCACAAAATGTTGGAAATTAGAACCTTGATTCAATACTTTGTAAGCATAGGCTAAATGGGACCTAAACATTTCATTGAAGTTAAAATTAGAGTTAATCATACCAGATATTTAATCACCCAATGCCTTAATGCCTTAAACAGCCCAGCAAGGAGCAGTTGAGGAACTGTGCAGTTGAGTTTTAAAGTATTTTGATATTCCCTGTAACCATTATATGTCTGCATTAGACTAGGTCTCATTGAGCAGTACACATCAAGATGCCTAAAATGTAGATGGCTGTATAACAGCAAACAAAGTGGTTATGAAACAGCAGGATCTCGGCAGGAAGTAAAGAGATATCTCAAAGAGTACCTAATCAAACCTGACAAATGGTGTAACATCTTCAGATGAATGACTAGGCCTGTAACATATTTTTAGTTAATCTTCCTCTTGCTTGCCAGAAACAGGCTCATTCATGTTCTTTCAGTATGAGATGGGAGGGTAAGGCTTTTGTATGAGGATCATAATGCACAGAAACCAGTGAAGATTTGGTCCATCATGTTTAGAAAAGATGAAAGAGAGGGCTGATTTGGATATGGGCAGACTTGTTTAAAAATAGATTGTTCCTGATACCAAAAGGTTGAAGAGACTTCTGCAGAATAGAGTTTATGATTCGTCATTCCAGTGCTTTGTCTGTGAAGTGTGTGGCTTGCCTTCTAGGTGTGTGTTCTTCTCTCTACTCTTCATCTTTTCTCCACGTCATGGCGCTGCTTCCTCCCTATTCCTGCTTCCTCATAATTCAACTTCCACATGGCCTCTACTGCTTGTTTGACTTCTCTCAATTGGGCCTTTCACTTTCAGCTCCAATTTTTAACGACTTAATTCTCTCCCGGTACCAGTTCATATTCCCAACATATTGGCTCAGCTCAACTTTTTCCATTTATTCTTTTTCCTTTTTTTTTTTTTTTTTGGTGCCAGGTCATGTTTACCACAAACTGCCTATAAATCAGGGCTCGTTCCTAATTAATTAGCCAAAACTTGATGAGATGGAGGTAATAGATGGGTCATAGAGCCAATAACATGGTCATATGGAACTGACCATTCTGGAGAGACTGAGGTTGGGGTTGTTATTGCAGAGGTTGTCATAGGCAACCATATGCCATGATACATAGGTCTCAGAAATAAATAAACAACATTCAGGATATTTATAGCCAGAGACAAAGGTTGCCGAAAATTAACTTTCAGTGTCTTAGATTAAGTGGATTATCTGAGATCCATTGCTTGAACCAATAAAATGCAAGTATATCACTACTCAAATATTCACATTTTTTTCCTTAAGGCAAGATTGGTCAATTTTTAGCCCTTCTGCATACCAGCAGAGAAAGATATAAAATGAGATTCAAATTTTGAATTAGGGCATATCCATTGACTTTGAACAAATAGGCTCTGGCGTAGCTAGAATTAGACATGGTGAAAACCACTAAATTTACCCAGGAACACTGCAGAAACATTCATCATATACAGGTTTATTTTGGGCATTGGTGAATCAAGCTTGTCACTGTGTCTGGTGGGATCTTGGCATAGCCAAACACATTGCCATGGCATTTTAATATGCCTTCTGACTGGTTACAGAAATCCTTATTATTTCATGAATGAGTTCCAGAAATTCAGACTCCATGTGTTTTTTAGGGAGTTCTGGGATCAGCATTGAGAAAAATATTGCTGTTGTGTTGGAGCGTGAAATTTATGCAGAATGGAATCCAAATGTGACTTGACCACCTAAGGCTTAGAAAGGTGTAAAACTTAGCTAATACAGCACTGTGTTAGCCAGTTCTTCCCTTATTGGAGTATCTCTGATTACTGTACAAAAATTACCTTTAGAAATAAAATTTAATTAAAAGATTCTCTCTCTATCTTTCTCTTACCAAGAAGAACACTGGTGCACAATATTAATTTATGGTATCCTTTGAGTGCTGAACTCTATATTAATCCTCAATTTATAAAGCACAATTATATTTTTCAGGTTTTCTTAAGACCTTTCAAATGTTTCTAATAAATGGGTTAAGACATATTCTCTTTCATTTCTCCCTTCTCTTTAAAAAGTGACCAGTTGAGTTGTCCCTGTCCAATTTTTAAAAATATCCCTACTCTTTAATGTATTCAACACTACTTATATCATGACAAGACCTTTTTATAGTTAAACATGAAGTGACTTAAATGTTCTGGATAAATTAGTTTGCTTAGAAAAAGTCCTATTTGGAGATGGAGTTACAGCATTTCCTTTGATAGATTCAGGGCATGACAATACTACCCTTGAACAAAAATGGCACTTTATTAAATGGAACTCACAGTCAGCCTTATTTCAATCATCAAAGAAGTAAAAGTAACACTCTGATGATTATGAAAAAGAGGTTGGATGAGATGTGAAATGAGTAATGAACCCAGAGTGAGGAGGTCTGTTCCTCATTCTGCCTTAATTATCTGTGTGATTTTGGACCCCTCATTTTCTTTCTCTGGGTCTTTTTTTCCCATTTGTGAAATGAGGGCTATAGAGTATTCAATCCTTTAGGATCTTTTGCCTGTATTATTTATTTTATATCTGATGGGAAATACATTCTTTATGGAATTTTATAAAGTTATCATATAAAAATAAAAATCTACTTAAAAGGCACATTTTTATAGTAAGATAGCATAGAGGAAAAATGAGTGAATCTCAACTAGATTCATCTAAGGGATAATGCCTGGATTTAGAGAGTAGCTGGCCCTGGGAGATGGTAGCTATTAATATTACTACTACATCCTACTTTGTACACTTTACCCAGCAAATAGGCCTCTGCCCTATAAAAAAAAAAGCAAGTGATTTCACCTAGGCAGCTATGTGTGTTAGTATTATGTGACTATCCTAGGGCTGCCGTAATGAATTATCGTAAACCAGCTGGCTTAAAACAACAAAAATTCATTTTTTTGCAGTTCTGGAGGCCAAAAGCAAAAACCAGGGGAGAAGAGGCAATGGCCTCTTCCAGCTTCTGAAGGCTGTTGTCATTCCTTGGCTTGTGGGCCCATCTCCCTCTGCTCCATTTTCCTCTGTGTGTCTGTCTCAGTCTCCCTCTGCCTTTCTCATGTAAGGATACATGTGATAGCATCTAGGTCCCAGCCAGGTAATCCAGGGTAAGTTCTTCCTCTCAAGATTATACCTGATCAGATCTTTTGCCATTTAATGTAATAGCCACTCTGTTGCCACAGGAGGTAAGATTTGCAGGTTCCAGGGATTAGGAAATAGACATCTGTTTCTGGAGGCCACCCCAGTTAGCCCACTACAGGTGGGACAGCAGGTAACTATTGAGCACGTGCATCATTTCTGTGGGCAGCACCATGCAGTGCTGGCTGATGGTTGCACACAGGAATGTGGGCTCCGTGTTGTAGGATCTTCCCATTTTAAAGCAAAAGCTAGATTCGATTCAATTCAATTCAACAAGCTAGATTTCAGTGAGCCAACGTCAAATATCAGGGGATTTTACACATAAATGTGTAGACACAATCTGGATTTTGTGTCTACGTGTTTATGTGTAAAATCCCTTGATATTTGGTGTTCGCTCATTGAAAAAAAGAGTCTACTCATGACAAATAAAACTATTCTATGCGCCACATTTGCTGTGAGGGCTGCAATGTCTGAAAAACAGAATAAAATTACCTTTGAGAGAGCACTTTGTAACCATATTCATTAACTCCACAAATATTTCTTTAGCACCTAATAGAATAATATTTATTTTAGATTGACCAGGGGAGAGCTTGCCGCTTTCAGAAAATATCTCCCCAAATGCAACTCTCATAGTTTTTCTTACGAAGAAAAGAGAGCATTAATTAGTCCAATATTTCCTTTCTGGAAATATTGCCTATGTTTCTGTGCCCTTCATTGAGATCAGCTGAGTTTCATGATCCTGGAATAAAGTTAAAATCCAAATTCAAAGTCGTAAATGTGGTCTGATCCTTGAGTATCTTGGAGATAATGGTACCCCAGGTTACCTAATATCTCATACTTACTGGTTATTCATCTCAGTTAGCCTATGATTCTTTTATAGGTAAAGAAAGCAAGGCCATTCACATTCCATATAGACCATAATCCCTATTGAGTCAGCATCTCTGAATTAGGCCAGTGTGTTAGAATGCCAAGTCCTTCAATTTCATTCATTATTGGCTGATAAACTGTGTATTTCTTTAATACAAAGGGAGAAAATTGTTGCAGGTGCCCAATCTGCCATCAATAGCCATGAGACTTTGTACAAGTTCATAAACACCAATTTTCTCATCTGAAAAATAGGGATAATAACAATACCTACTTCCCTATATTGTTTTGAGAATTAAGGGGGTTAATGCATGTGAAGTGTTCAGAAGAGTGTCTGGCACACAGTGAACACCTAATAAGCATTAGCTATGCCAATTATTTTCATCAGTATTATCTTTATTATTACCAAACATGGGTAAATATCTTTATTATTCTATCTCCTTTCTCTATGGCAGCGTTTCTCAAAATGTAATGTGTGTACCATTCACCTAAGTAAGAATCATGCTAAAATGCAGATTCTGATTCCTTAGATCTGGATGAAGCCTAATTCTGCTTTTTAACGAGCTCCCAAGTAAGGCTGGTGCTACCTATGAGAAGATTAACTGGCTGCATGTCATAATCATCTAGAAAGCTTTCAAAAAAATACCAGAGGCATAAATGTACCCTCCTCCTCCAGACCAATTAAATCAAAGTCACTGATGGTGGGAACCCCAGGTCATTGCTATTTTCGAAACAGTTCCCCAAGAAAATCGAACATGAGGATTAAACCCCTCTCTTACTACATAAGAATTTTTACACGCTCACAAATGATGGGGTAAAAAGAAATGCCAGTTCTCTCTATTACAAATTAAACTCTCATCCCACCTGGAAGAAGTTAGCAGCATAAACTGTAACACATCTGAAGTGGTGCCCACGGTTACTCTTGCAAGCTTCTTATGGGAAACACAATATTTTGGTATTTCCCAACCTGGTGCTGTTAACAAGAATCATCCCTTGTTTGTGTTTGTTAATCAGCTTGATGAGCAGTTTCTGTGTTGATCTTCCCAAACTGTGTTGGCCAGTTGCCAAATCAAGTGCATAAATTACACACTGCCCTCTCTCCAAGCTGCTCCCAACCCTGCAGAACATCAGAAAGAATTTCCTTTGAATGCGCAAATCTGTGTAAGCCGATTGCTTAGACTGATACTTTGTGGGGTTGGTCTGATGTGACATGATCATGTGTCACAATATTATGACACTGTGATGACGTATTTTAATGTTAAGAAATAATATTTTGACCAATATCCAAATGTCAGTCTTTTTGAAAGGTCAGATTCTCTTTATATAATGGTGTTTCCTAGAGAAGTTATTTATAGGTCTTGAGGCTCCACGTACCAACCTAAGCACTCTATTCCAAGAACCAAGGAGCAACATATGGCTCAGCTCTACTGAGATTTGTTATCATAAAAGAATGCATGAGTGTGCTGGTAATTCCTTAACAAACATTAAGGAAAATGAGATGCCAATAATATGGAAATTTCAACATGGTTGACTTCTCTTTATAGAAGACACTCTGGGTATCGCTAAAGTCCTATTGACCTGGGACCTATAGGACCAATTCTAATCTTTCTTCCATTTCTATGTGTTCCTGTGGTGATTTCTCACCAGGTATCCATTTTTAAACTGCGATCATTTTATATTCTCAGATCAGGAGCTCTATGGTAGGAATCACCTTAGATTTGAAATTTCTAGCAGGTTATAACCCTCTTTGAGAAGTATGAGGGGAAAATAGAGAAGCAAGTAGTGAAACCTGCATTCCTAACGACTATCTTCATTTGTTATGTGACTTGGTTGACACTATTAGAAAAATGTAGCTTGTATTATTTTTATTACTAATATTATTACTATCATTATTATATACTTTAAGACATCTCTATCATCTCCCAATTACCAGGACATAAATCTAGATAGCAAATGTCTTTTTTCTTTATGTTATGCATATTCAGAAATGGGTCTCCTTGTAAATGGCCAACCCATTTAACAAAAGAAGAAAGACCTGCCTAACAAAGGAAGAAATATATTCATTTATATATTCATAAAAATAAGAATAAAATATAAAGCGCCCCCAATATTTGCATAGCAATGTCTAGTGCCTTCATGAACAGCAAAAAGAGACCTCTACTGCAAAATCCAGATATTAAAAATGACTAAATAGGGAAGCAAGGATATTTAAAACTGGGATAATAGAGGTCATCTCTGAAAAATAATCTTAAGATGTGAATGCATAGAGTCAGCTACCTATGTCAAAAACTACCTATCATTATCTGTTTAAGAAATAGCACACACACACACACACACACACACACACACACAGAAAAGAAGAATGAATATTCTGCAACAGATTGCTAACAGTGGGGTAATGAGAATACATGGTTGTCTATTTTTTTAATGTTTCATAAGAAGCCTATATCACTACTTGTATAATCGGGAAACAATAACAACTGTGGATTGACTTGAAGTGCAATTTGTTTGTTTTTTTCTTTTTTCTTGTTTACGCTTTGTGATTACTTTAGAATCAATATATATTTTTATAATTCTTATTAAAAAGTTATTTTATACATGCCAGTATATTAATACTTAAGAAAAATTTCTCTGGATCTTTACTCCTAGGAAGTTAGATTTCCTTCTTTCTAATTCCTATTCAATGGCTAATTGGCTGATTGTGCCTTCTACCATAGATAATGCTTTCTCCGTTAGTATATATTTGGAACCTTTGTATTTCTTGAATGAAATCTCATTCAGTGTCTGTGGAAACCTGCTCCTGAGATGTTCACAGATCTTTTAAGTAGAGACGTAAGATTAAGGAGTCTTGCTGAAATATTCGTAGGTATATTTCTGAGGGCGTATGCTGTACCCTTATCTGACCCACAATACATCAAAACAGCATGGAGTTCATTTGGATTCAAATTCAATCAATCCCTGTCTCCTGGCATGAAGAATGAACTCTCTGGACTAAAGAATCTTTGATCAGGAATTCCACACTCTCTCCCAACACTCCCTTCTTATCCACCCCTACTCACCTATATCGCCATGGAGGGAGATAATTCTTACTTATAAAGATGGACAACTGAAACTTTGCATTACCACATAGAAAAAAAGACATTCTTGGATTTAACTTTTTGATGCAAAAAGGACATATCTGAAATATGACGTAGGCCCTCATGCACAGGCAAGCTCAAGGATTGTGTTTGCTAGAACTAAAAATTAAGAAAAGAACAGTCCCCCACCCACCACAAAAGAAAAAAATTCAGCAGATATTTATAAAGTATGTGTACAGGATATCAAATATTTGAACAACCAGAATTTCATGCTATGATTTTTTTTCATATAATTGCTTGACATCCTTTCTAATCTATCATTTTACTCCTCATGTGTTGCATTCTCTGGACTCTGTCTGTATTTACACTGTTCCGTCTGCCTAGATTGCCCTAGCCCTTGTCCCCCTTAGTCAACAAATGCTAATACTCCAAAGACGGGAGAAGATGCTCCTTGTTTTTTCTTAGAGCATTTCTTGACCTCAGTGTAGAAATACTTCTTATTCACCTGTGATCTCATAATATTCTGTGCATACATCTCTTATTTTTTCATCAAATACATTATTTGCACGTTATGACTTATAAATCCAGAATTCTGTGAGGGTAGAGACCATGAATCCTTGTATTTCAACCTTAGCAAACAGTAGGCACTCAATAAATGCTTATTGGATGAAGGTTTAATCATCCAATAGAGTTAGGGGGTTCTTGTCCTGAGGAGAGGAAGACAGGTAGAGTTAACCTTCAATGTACTAACAAGGCCGAGTCCATCTTTTTTCTATCAGAGTAACTGCACCAAGATGTCATGTAGCTTTTCTGAAGCCTCTAGAGAAATTCCATCCTCTGGTGGGAAAGGAGGGGAATAAAAAAGTTTGAGCTCAAGTCCATTAAATTCTTTTTAATAAGGCCTTACAAGGTATTCAGTATTTTGCTTTGATAGCTGTATAAAGTCAGTCTTCTGACAAATTTCATATTGCCTTTTTTTAAGATAAATTTTAATTATTAAAGTGTCCAGTGAAAGCCTGACGATTTGGAGGCTGCGAATTAGGGAGCAATGCTGAATGATGCAGTGTGACAGTCGTGTGCAATAATGGGAAATGTATTCATCTTAGATAAGAAAGGTCATTCCTTCCAGTGCCCCTAGCTCATTTGGAAGTCAAAATGGACTGTGAGATTTCTTGGGCTAGGGATGTGCAATATTTGGCTAAATATTCTACCTCTTGCTGCCAGATGGAAGAGGGTACTGGGGAGCTAGTGTGGTAATGTGAACAAAGCATGGGTACTGCATTCAGAATCCCAGCTCTTTGCCTTACTAAGAGGTGTAGCTTAATGTCTCAATCTGCGTCTGGGTAATTTCATCTTTAAACTTGACATATAATAGCACCTACTTTAGAAGTTTGTTGGGAGGCTTAAATAAAGTCATGTATATAAAATTCTTACCATAGTATCTGCCACATACTAAGTGAGCTGGGATTCAAGTCCCTTTTTGTCGGTCTAGCTATATAAATGGAGAAAATTTTTTAACTTTTTCAAATTTTATCCTTCCAATCCACCATACACTGTACGGTGCTTAGCAAAGAAGATATGATTATGTTGAAGTGTTCAGCGTTCGTAGCTGCTCAGCGACTGATATTATTCTACTCATATCTTAAAATAATCTCTGTTGAACTCAATGAAATGAATTCCCATAACCTCTTCACATCCTTGTCTCTCCTTGCTGTGTGTTTGTTAGAAAGACAGTAGCCCCCTGTTGGTGGTCCTTTGTCACTAAGAACTATCTTTAGGCTTTTTGAAATTCTATACTATATATTCCCACGTGATTTTTCTTTCATTTTAGTTTATTCGAGTAAGTATTGTAGGTGTGGTAGAAGTAGAAAGATTAAGCAAAATAGAAAATGATTTCTCTAATAGTCTGCTTTAAATCTATATCTAATAATGGTAAAGATAATAATCAGTAAGAAAGCCTTGGCTTGGCTTCTCTCCTTTTATCTGGAGAACTCTTTTCTCTTCTTCATATAGTATTACATATTGTAGATCTTGATAATTGAGTGAATAAGTGAAGTGTATTTTTTTTTCAATTTTATAAATTGGAATCTTAAGGTTGAGAAAAAGCAAATCAGTCAGCAAATGGTTTCTGTTCAATTGCAGCCCCTCTTTCCATCTGAGCCAGACTCTTGGTCCTGCTTCAGAACAGTGACTCTTAAGTCCCTGTTGTAGTTTTCACATTTATAAATAAAAAGATTGAGGTGTGATCTCCTGGAGTTACATTAAGCCCTTGAACATTCTGTAATATTATGACTCTTCAGCAATGTTGCTATAACTAGAATCCATTGCCATGCTTCTTGGTTTAGTCTTTCCTGTATTGCAACTTAATGTGTTCACTTTCTGCACTTAGGAGAACTTTCCTGTCTTTTGTAGAGTAACCAGCATATATCTTAAGCCCAGAATGTCTGAACACATGAGTAAATACAGAGTGAGCTGAGATGAAGGGTAACCTTGAAAACAGTGAAGTCACGTGTATGCTCACTTAGACAGTTAATGGGGTTCTGTTGATTGGTACAGAAATAAGTGACTGGGTTAGCTTATGAGGGCACAAATAACAAATGTAAAGGTAAATTTTACAGATTCTTTAATATATTCCCTTAACTCTCTTAAGTTCCTAAATTCCTCTTGTGATGATAGAAAACACAGGCAGCAAAGGTTTTGGCATTCACTGTACCAGCATTTGTGGGTCCTCTGGGAACCTCATACCAACGTGTTTGAAGCTGTTGAGTGGAATAGAGAAGAAAGGAATGGCTACTCTTCCAAAATTCAATTCATTGGGGTGCAGTATTGTAACAAGTTGGTTATATACATTATCTATCACAAAGAAAAATAGATGTTCCTTGACCATTTTTGTGAGAAAAGTCCTTTGTACTAAGCAATATAGAATGTATCCCAAAGCAGTGCTGCTCAAAGTTAATCTGCAGAACAAACTGCTACCAATCCACAATAAGATACATGGAGAAAGTGAGAGTGTTTAGAAACTTTTTAGAGCAATTTGATATAACCAGGATATTCATTTTTCTATTCATTTTTATTATATTTTACATCTGTGACAGATCGGATTTTAAAAACAAAAATCAGTTGTTCTACAGATAACTTGAGAAAGACTGTTCTAGAAGGAATACAGTTTTAAAAAATGAAGAATAAGGAATAAAGCTAGGGTGGGCCACCTAAAAATTTTCATGTGACTATCCATCTGTAAGTACGAGTATGTTTGTGCAAACTGCAGGCACCCTTTCTTTAGTTCTGTGTGTTAGGCCCTGGGCTTAATACTTTCCTTCTCTTATGTCTTTTAATCCTTGAGAAACTATGTGCTGGATGTTTTTTAGACCCTTATATTTTTGGCCCCAAAGTGGATTTTCTCACAAAATGGCAGTTATCAGCAGAAAGCCCTGGTTTAAGTTTTCACTCTCATTACATCGATCCCCTGCTGTCAAAATGGGCTCCTGATCCAGGAAACAAGGTTCCCCCAGATCCTGTGAGCACGGAGCCATCGGCCCCTGCTCAAGAGTCCCAGTCAGGTGGAGCCCTGTGCTTCGCTGTAGAGCTGTTCAGGAAATTGACAAATTTACAGCCCTGTCGCTGCCGTCCTTTCAGTGGGGAAGCGCGGCTTCTCTTCCAGCAAGCGGACTTAGATGTCTGTTTACTGTTTCCCTCAAATGTGAGCCCTGCTGGTGATGCACGTCGCAAATGGAAGTAATATCATTTGAAGCAGTCCCGCTAGAAGCCCAGGAGCAATCTAACTGCATTAACTCTTCCGTCTGAGTGGAGGAGGCTGAAGAGGGTACAGGACTGGACTGAGCTGAAGTGAAGAAAATAGAGCAATACACAATCCTTGACTGCAAGTAGCAGGGGTGCCTAAAGAGGTTTCACTTACTGCCTTCAAATGAATGACACCGGGGTGTCACAGGACATCTAATATTCTGTTGACAAATCTTGCTAAGCATTGGAAGTGGCTGAAGCAGTGGCTTCCTGTATTTTTGAGGGGTTTCTAATGTTGTATTCCCCCCTTATACCTCTCAGATTCTGCGGATTGTTGTTTCTGTATGTACAGGAATGCCCTGTGCTGGTGGTTCTGAAATACTAGGCCAAGAACTGCAGGCTTGCTTTATTGTTTTCAGAAACTGCAGTCTACTATTTCTTTTTCTAATGAGCATACTATCATTTTATTTTATTTCACTGTTTTCTATTTTCCCAGCTTTACTAAGTTATAATTAACTAATTAAAATTGTATCTATTTGCAATGTATAGCTGTGTTTTGATATGCATACATTGTGGAATGATTAAATCAGACAGTCTGACACGTCCATCACTTCACACTTATCTTTTTTTTTTTGCAACATTTAAGATACTCTCTCAGTAATTTTCAAATATACTATGCTTTTTGTTAACTACAGTTACCGTGCTGTACAATATATTTCCAGAACTTATTCATCCTCTCTAACTGAAACTTTGTACCCTTTGACTAGTATCTCCCCATTCCCACCCTGCACCTCTCACCCACCCCTTTCTCCTCTCTAAGTTCAATGTTTTCAGATTCCACGTGTAAGTGAGATCATGTGGCATTTGTCTTTCTGTGCCTGGCTTATTTCACTTATTAATAAATAAACTAAGATTCAAAGCTGTTGGGGTTTTGTAGCTTTCTTGTAATAAATAATAGCCAATTAGTTATCCTGCAATGGGCGTTAGGACTCAGACATTTCTCTGTCCATACTTGAACTCCTATAAACCTTATTACCCAGCACGTTGTCTTTTCACAGCCTGATTTATGCTGTGGATTTGATTGTTTCCTAGGTATAGTGGAAAAAGAGCATCTCTTAATACCATTCATTTATTCAGTGCATCTTTACTTAGAATTTTCTTCAAACACGGATATTAAGCTGCCCTAAGTGGTCTGTGTGGCCTCATCTTTAATCTCATGGCCACACCATGAGGCTCCTGTTAATACCCTCCCCATTTTCAGGTGAGGAAACTGAATATTAGAAAAGGCAAATAAATTGCCTGACGTCTTAGGATCATGAAAGTTGTTCTTTGTCTCATTAAGACATTTAAGGTGGTGTTAGACAAGATATACAAAAAGTTTAGTTACAAGTCATTAGAATTTATATATACAACTCTCTGTCATGCATGCTCTCTCTCTCTCTCTCTCTTTTTATATATATATGTATATAAAATTAGCCCGTTTTCAAGTTGCTAATAAAGACATACCCGAGACTGGGTATTTTATACAGGAAAGAGGTTTAATGGACTTACAGTTCCATGTGGCTGGGGAGGCCTCACAGTCATGGTGGAAGGCAAGGAGGAGCAAGTCACGTCTTACGTGGATGGCAGCAGGCAAAGAGAGAGTTTGTGCAGGGGAACTCCCGTTTTTAAAACCATCAGATCTCATGAGACTTATTCACTATCACAAGAACATCAGGGGAAAGACCTGCCCCCATAATTCAATTACCTCCTACCAAGTTCTTCCCACAGCCTGTGGGAATTCAAGATGAGATTTGGGTGGTGACACAGCCAAACCGTATCTCCTATATGTGTATATATACATATCTATATATGTATATATACACACACATATATACACACACCCATATATACACACATATGTGTATATATACACATATATATACACATATACACATATATATTTGTGTGTATGTGTGTGTGTGTGTATATATATATATATATATGCTATCCTGTAAACTGTATAATCTAATCTAGATGATGTGATGAAAGCAAGACATGGGACTATAGTCCCCAACTTTCACAAAATATTTATCCAGTAGAAACATAGAATATGTATCCAAAATATGAATGTGAAAACTAGAATGTGATATGAGATGAACTTTCAGATCTTCCTCCTAAATCAAAATTACAATGACCTGATTTGGATGATTCAGGAGTGCTTTGAAGGAGATAGTATATTAGTAGAAACTTGAAAGACCCTCACCGTTAGAGATAGGAAGGTAAAAGATTCCAGGAGAAATCACAGGAAAGCAGAAAAATTGAAATAGTGAAAGATAGTATGGCTTGGGTAAAAATGTTTATGAAAGGGTTTAGTAAGAGTTAAAGCAAAACAGTGGATTCGGGTGAGGAAATGGATAACCCGAAAAACAAGCCAATGAACTTGGTAAGAATGAAGTTTCTGAACTTGGAGGTACCATGTTCATAGTGGTTTTGGAAAGTTTTATTTGTACAGGCTTGAGTACAATGGGTTATGGCAGAAGCTTGGGAGAGGCAAAGCATGCAGAGAAATTGGCCAGGTGGTTGTTTTTCTTTGTTTGTTTGTTTGTTTGTTGTTTTTTTGAGACAGAGTCTCAGCCTGTCTCCGAGCCTGGAGCACATGGAGCGCCATGGTGCAATCATGGCTCACCGTAGCCTTGACCTACTGAGCTCAAATAAGTGATCTTCACACCTTAGCCTCCCAAGTAGTTGGGACTACAGGCATGCATCACCACGCTTGGCTAACTTTTTTTTTATTGTTTATAGAAATGGGGTCTAGTTATGTTGCCCAGGCTGATCTCAAATTCCTGAGCTGAAGAAATCCTACCACTTCAGCCTCCCAAAGTGCTGGGATTACAGGAGTGAGCCATCATGCCTGGTTGGCTGTTCTTATATAGTTGTTAAGTAACATAGCATGGCAGGGGATGCAACAGAAATGGAAAGGAAGATCTAGATGTGTGATATATGAAGGAGTGGAATCAATAAAAATTGACAGCATGGTATTGGAGTCCAACATACTGGTTCTTAACTAGTGTTCAAACTCCTGTCACTTGTTAGACTTGTGGTTTGTAGACAAGCTATTGAACCTCTCAGAGGCTTGAAGAAGCAACAAGCTTGAGGTTTAGGCCTTGCTGAGTCACTGAGTGTGTGTCCATAAGGAAGGACACATCTGAAGCATGAAAGAGTGATCAGGTGAGGATAAGAGCTGAATAACTAAAGATGCGACCCTGCCAGTGGTGTCCAAATGTGTTGATAAAACCCAAAACAGTTACTTACCAAGTGTCAAATGAGGATTACATTGATGTCTCATAGATGTAAGATCTCAGAGGCTAAGAATACTCATAAGGGACTGTGGGTAGTCCTCAGCTGGGTAGAGGAAAAAATAAAATAGGCGTTCTAAGGGAGGATGCCAATGTGAGTCAGGCTTGGAGACAAGAATGCTCCCTTTGCATTTCAAAGAGCGTGAAAACCACTTTAATGGACTGCAAAAACATAAGACTCCAAAAGAAGGCTGGGGCCCTGTGCAAATTGCCTTTGGATTTGCAGATTTAGCAAATAAAAATACAGGAGAGCCAGTTAAATTTGAATTTCAGATAAACAACAAGTAATCTTTTTTAGCATAAGTATGCACTGAGCAAAATTATCAATTGTTTATCCAAAATCCAAATTTAACTGGGTGTCCTATATTTTATCTGGCAACTCGATGTGGAGTGCCACAGGAAAGCATTTGGACTTTATTCAGCGAGAACCATTTGAGTGGTATCTGAGCAATGGAGTGACAAGATAAAATAATTCTTAGGATAATTAATTTGGTGTGCGGGATAGAGGAGACGAGACCTCGAATGGAGAGGACAGCTGTGATGGCGTAGGGATAACACGGTGAGAGCTGATGAGAACTCCCCTTTCTTCTATTATCGTCTGTCAACGTGGATTTCCATTCTGTCCTGTCACTCCAGTTGTCCCTCATTCCTGATGTCACCTACATCTCCTGCAGAATACATGATGACCTGCACTTCTTGAGGTTAAAATTTCTCCTTAACATGATTCCTTCTTTCTTTTGTTTTTCTATCTTTGTCAGTTGGCAGCATGTTGTTAACACAGTAGTTCTAGGTTAAGTAAAATCATCATTTCTCAGAGATAAAAATAGTTGTCTATTTTCTTTTCAAACCCAGTTGTAAAACTTGTGTGAGTCCAAGTTGGGATAACTTTTCAGTCTCCTTTTCTGCTTGTACCTCTCAATGCATCTCTTCAGAAGATTCCAGTAAGATGTCCACAGGGTACACAACATAAGTTATTGACCATTTGGGGTTGGGGGGTATCTGCTTATACGACACTCTAGCCACACTGTAACAGAGGTAGGAGGTTAGAGATACTCAAGCTCCCCTTTGTCCCTTTTCTGCGCCTCAAAGGGGTGACATAAATACAAGGGTTGAGGGAAATGGGACCTTAGAGACAAGGAGAAGTCTAGCAGAGATGACTGTGGTGATGCTGCTTACAGGAAACCCAGGCCCTGCTTGAAGAAAAGCCAAAGTCATAGGTGAGAAAACAGTGGCAAGGAGAAGACACAAAACATGCAGACATTCACTGAAGACTAAGATTAAGCCATGATTTTAATACGTCCTCTCCAAAATTCATGGTGAAACTTTATTCTCATTGTGCACGCATTTAGGGAGTGATTCAGACACGATGACTACACCATCATAAATGGCTTAGTGCTTTATAAAAGGGCTGGGGGAAACTAGCTTTGGCCCTTTGGCCCTTCCACATTCTGCCATGTAAAGACACAATGTTCATCTCCTCTGGAGGATGCAGCATCAAGATGTCATTCCCTCACCAAAAACTGAACTTGCCAGTATCTTGAACTTGGACTTCCCAGCCACCAGAACTATGAGAAATAAGTTTCTATTCTTTATAAATTACTTAGTCTCAGGTATTTTGTTAGAGTAGCATAAATGGACTAAGACAAGCCATAAGAATTAGAGCTCACAAATCAAAGGCAAGAAATCAGAGTGGTTCATAAACTCAACCTGCTTATGGTTGTGCAGGGCACTTGGGTCAAGGGAGCAAGAGGCACTGAAATCTAGCTTAGGATCCCTTTGCCAAGCAGTCTACATGGTTGCATCCAGTAAAAAGGGACAGCTTTATCTTATTAGTGTGAAGATACTCTATAGGCTAGTGGTGGGATTACACCATGCAGAGTGTGAATCCTGGCAAGTAGTTGAACCGTATGATCTGATACTTGATCATCCTGAACCTGAGTCTCTTCACCTGTAAATAGTCTAATAATAATACCCACCTAGGCTCATTCTGAGGGTTAACAAGATTGATAAGCTATAATATACAAAATTTTTATCATAATGACTGGCATGTGGCTACAAATAAATAATAACCGCTACCAGGAAAACTCTAAAAAAAAAGACCCAAAGGGTGTACTAAGCTATTTAGAAGTCAAGTAAAATGCCTTGAAGGCAGATTTAACTTTATAAAGATAATGATCAGCAAACTTATTCTATAAAGGGCCAGATAGTAAATATGTAAGGCTTTGTGAGCCATAATCTCTCTTCTCTATCCCATATACTTAAAAAAAAAAATAACCCTTTAAAAGTAGAAAAATCATGCTTAGCTGGTGGGCAATAAAAAAAACAGGCTGCAGACTAGATTTGGATCATGTACTATAGTTTTCTCACTCCTAGAACTCAAAGAGAATAGTAGTCTATGAGTTCAGAAATTTGGGATACCTATGATTTTAGCATGGAGCCAGGCAACAAACAGGTAGAACTCATTACTTGCTTGCCCTAAGGCCTCAGACTTACGGTTGATGAGAGACTATTTGTCTAGTTCAAGATTAGATGTCCAGGTCAGGTACAGTGGCTCATGCCTATATTCCCAGCACTTTGGGAGACCGAGGCAGGCAGGATCACCTGAGGTCAGGAGTTTGAGACCAGCCTGGCCAACATGGTGAAGCCCTGTCTCTACTAAAAATATAAAAACAAAATTAGCCAGGTAATGGTGGCGGGTGCCTGTAATCCCAGCTACTTGGGAGGCTGAGGCAGGAGAATCGCTTGAACCCGGGAGGTGGAGGTTGCAGTGAGCCAAGATCACGCCACTGCACTTCAGCCTGGGTGACAAGGGCAAGACTCCATCTCAAAAAAAAAGATTAGACGTCCCATCCCAGTACAAAGTTTAGCATGCTGTACAAGCACAATAAATGATTTCGAGGGAATGGATTGAAATGTTTCAAAGTTTGTTGAGGATGGGTATGGTGGATCATGCCTGTAATCATAGCACTTTGGGAGGCCGAGGTGGGAGGATCACTTGAGTACAGGAGTTTGAGACCAGCCTGGGCAATATAGTGAGACCCCCATCTCTACCAAAAAAAAAAAAAAAAAAGCCAGTTGGTTTTTTCAGCTAGATTTTTTCATCTGCAAAGCTAAGAGAACAATGGTGTCAGGAATAAATAAATTACTATATAAAGTGTATTTATTATAATGCTGGTCACGTAGTGACAATAATCTCATCCTCATCATGTTTCAGTGTCTTCTTTGTGAATATGTGCTTAGGAATCATTTCAAATTATTGTGTAAACTCTTATCACTTGGTATAAAAGGAGAAACTAAAAGTTTTAAGGATAGGCTGACTAAAAGCAGAGAAACAAGAACCTAGTCTATCAGGAAGAGTACAGTTATCTCAGAATGATGATCATTTGTTCTTTTGTTCTCAAAACAAGACCTTCAACAAAAGTCATGGCTTTCTACCTCTGATGCTGACTGTGAACGAATCTGAGCCTTTACTAACTCTCATGACCTTTGTCTTCTTCCATCTTCCCAGGTATGAGGCAAAGATTAAAGCCATAGACGCTCCTTGGGGAAAGGTGCTGTTATAACCCACGTGGGTATCATTAGCTTGAAATGTAGAAGGATGAAGATTTTGAATGAAATAGAGACTTTATTAAGGAGTAGGATGCCTGTAGATACCAGCCAATTCATGCTGTAAGGTATTTCTTCAATACACTTCTTGTAGAAAAGTAAGTGGTGGTTACAAAGCCATGATATTCAACTTAGCTGTCAAACAAGCAGTCAGCTTACACCTTAAGGGAGGAAGGAAACTGTTTGAAATGTTGCAGAATGTGGGACACTGTAGGATAATGAGGAGTTTCTAATCAGGAGACAGTACTTATATCCAAAACTTGTTAGCCTATGCCTTGCCTCATCGGCAAAATGGGACAATTGGACCTAACAGAGTGTGTGCCAGAGGGTTTTTATGAATTGCTTCCAGGTGAATATCCATGAATCTGATGATACTTGAAGACACTGACTCTCATAAATAAATGAAAGCCAAATTTGAAAACACATGTGTAGTTGGAAAGGCGATTTCAAATAATCGAGACATACTTATCCTCTATTTTTGAAATGAGGTTCAGAATTCAGCTGGAATTACAAGGCTCATCAAACACTTTGAACTTGATACAGTTTAAATAGGCTCATCTGAGCAAAGTACAGAACAGCCTTCATTTCCCAGGTTCTGTCAGTCAGCCTGCTGGATTGACTGGTGATGTCTTGATTGGGTATGATTCCCCTTGACTCATTTCTCTGTTGCTGGTAATTAAAAGCTGTCTAGTTTTGTTCTCATTTAACAATAAGTGAAAGGGTAATGTCTGCCAGACTTTTCCATTCACTTGGTGTTTGTAACAGTTGAGAGCCTTGGAGCACCATGAATTCTAAGCTGAAGGTAACTATCAGTACAGATAGTGTATTGGTGTTTTGCACCTGGGAGCTGACTATAAACCTCAAAGCCAATCGGAAAACAGTCCCCAGGGTAAATGGATAAATTGTCATAGATGACCTTCTCCTCTCATTCCAGCTTTGAAAAACAGAACTTTCTGTGAGTAGGTAGAATAAGCTGTCTGTCATTTGCAGTTTCCAGCAGTCTCTGAGACTAGTGCATGTGCCTAATTTTACACTGGAAGGAGAAACCATGTCGAAACGCAGAAGGCAAAATAAGAGTTAGGCTCTCTCTAGGCTCAGTATGTTTAGTTCTGGTTCTTAAACCTTTCCCATCATTATGGTTTTAATCATTCCGATCAGCATTATTATAATCACAAAATGTCAGCCTAAGAAAACGATAATCTCATCGTCATTATGTTTCAATGTCACCTTTGTCAACTTGTGCTTAGCTATCATTTCAAATTACTGTATCAATGCTGCAATTAGATATAATTTGTGATATGACCAGCATTCACAGGTGAGTAGTTTAAAAAAAAAGTCTCACACCAACTGAAATACTTTATTATTATAGGTCTATTCTTTCAGAACCAAGTATGTTTAATGTGTGCTTTCATTTGAGAAATATTTCAAATCAAAATGTTACATTTTAAGAATACATGACTTAATATTTATGACTTGAATATTATAACTGTGTGAATTTGAAGCACTGAAATCTCCCATTCTCTATAAATTTTATTATTAAGATGGCATATGGAGGTTTTTTCAGGATTGTCCTCATGCATGCAATTAATGAAATTCAAATGTCTTTTTTTTAACCAGTAAAAGTGCTTATTGAAATTGACCATTCTGTAATGACTTCTACTCTTTCATTGCACAGAAGCATAGGTTTAAAATATTTTCCATTCTGTTAAGTTTTCTTTTAAACCAAGATAAGATTAAGGTATAAGAAAGGAAGAGAAGTGATGATTTGGAGAAAGGTTTCCTACCTTCTCTTACGGGAAGATGAGACCTAGGTTTAAAAAGTAGGACTGGTTGATCAAGCATAAAAGTGATTTATGAAATATGACATCTCTGTAACATTGAGAAAAAAATGTTTTCCTTCATTGAGTGCTTTCTTCCATATGCAAAATATTGACACATCCCTATTATATCAAACAAAAGCCTTCATTCAGAGAGATAATTTTATAGAGCGGCTGGTATCATGTGATCTTATTAATATTTATGAAATATGATAATAATATGGAAAAGGGGGAACTGGAATACAGCCCTATCTTTCTAGACCCTATTCATTTCAGCTTCAAAATGTTTTTTCATTTCACACATCAGACGCTAATTAGCAAATATCTAATTAGTGTTAGAAGATTAATCGCTCATGGGAGTTGTTGAGGCTTTGAGCTTTCATGCATGCAAAAACAGTGCCACTTTAGGTGCATTTGTTAAGGTACAGTAACTTTAAGTGATACAACTTTTATTTTTCTTCGAAAAATATTTAAATTACATCGTTGGAGTAAATTTAGGCTCAAGCAACAAGGAAGCAAGGAACACACAATTGAAAAATAAAAATGACACTGTGGAGAGCCACATATTCAGTCAAATCTCCAAGTGTCAGGCAAGGGTCTACTCTGTTTTAGGCACTGTGGGAAACTATCACAAATTTAGAGAATCATCAAGTACAGCTCCTGATTTGCAGACACTTAGGGAATTACCATAGGGGATCAAAATCCAAGGACTCCAGGCCAAATTCAGCCAGACATGTGTGTGTTTTTGTACAGCTGTAAACTAAGAATAGGTTTTACATTTTTAAATCATTGGACAAGAAAATGAACAAAGAATGATATTTCATGACACGTGAAAATTAAATTCAAATTTCAGTGTCCATAAAAAAAATTGTGTTGGCATATAGCCATGCTCATTCGTTTATGTACTGTCTGTGGCTGGTTTCACACCAAAACAGGGCGAGTTGAGCAGTTGCGACAGAGACCATATGGACCACAAAGTCTAAAATATTTATTCTCTGGCCCTTTAAAGGAAAAATTTGCCACCCCAAAATTAAAGATAAATATCTAGATGATAGAGCAGAGCAGCTTTGGGAGTCAGGTAGAGCCATATCAGTTCCGTAGTTTGTTACCTGTGTGACTTTGGCAGGTGATTTAAAATTTCTAAGCTTCTATTTATAGTGTAGCAATTATGAATCTCTTCATAGATCTATAGAAACTGAGGATTTAAAGAGTTGAATGGGATTACTTACACAAAGTACCTCATCTGTTTTCTGACTTATAGTAGATAAAGAGTAAAAGTCACTGCCTTGGCCCCCATAGTTTCCAAGATACAACATAAAGTTAGGTTTCTTTATGAATTCTCCCTCTCACCTTCCTTAGAAAGGTTCCTAAATGGAAGGGCAAGTGGCCCAGAAGTGGGAACGGTACTATTTTTCACCTGTTTCATGAATAAGATGGAAAGGGGATAGGTACTAAACTAAAATGATCTCACTAGAGATTTGTGCTTCTAATATTATAGGACTTTGTCCCCATCTTGTCCCCAAATGCCCTTAAGCATCAATCCCTTCTTCTAATAAAACCTGAAGAAAGTAGCTAGCAAAAATGTATTGTTAATGCAAGTTTCAATGATGTTGTTCTTATTTTTTCACTCGTAAAAATCTCTGTTCATTCCAAATTCCTATTTACAATTCATAGCTGTCAGATCTTTCATTTAAGTACACACATATTAAATTTATTGACTATATCCTGCAGAGTTAATGATGGGTAACTCATTAAATGCCACGGGGAGTCTGTAGTTTATAAGTAAAAAAGAAAATTTTAGAGGGTGAGGTGTTTTTTGAGAGAGAGGTTTGGAGTAAATTAAAAACTTTAAAAATTATTCTACAAGCTGAAAAATCTCTGTTTCAAAGCAGCAGGAATTTTAATCAACACACACACACATAAAGAGAGATAGCCGTCTCACTTCAGTGTTGTAAATAGTAGGACTGGCTTCTAGAATCAATATATCTGCACTGAAATTTGGTCATAATTCAAATTGCTTTAAGTGTTCTTTGGAGACAAGACCAAAAACTACTGAAGGGGTTTAAAGTGAGGTTTAAACCAAAGATATTACAGCCTCCAATGTATCTCTGATACCTCCAAGGAGCATTAATTCATTTCCTCTGAAACAATGTGCATTAGGAAAATATTTTGAAATTATACTGATTTTACATGACAGATACATAAGGCAATAATTTGAGAAATAAAATCACAATCATAGAAAGCATATAATCATATTCCTGAAATATAAATAGCAATTGCTTTAGGGGATTGTTAGAGTTGGGGCAGAACAAGAAAAGCTAGTGTCCTGAAAGTTTAATCAATGGTCATTGACTAAATGGTCATGCCGCCATTTTAGTCAACGGTCACTCTGTGTACTCAACATGCCTACTCAGTCTGGAAGTATCCTGGGCAGTGGGCAAGTTGTATTCAGAGAAGGGCCAGACATGGGGAATGACCTTGAATCAGATGGAAGGATTTGCCACCAATTGCATAAGGTAAGCCAGAAGCCCTTGAGGTCTCTCACCAGGAGGTTTTCCCTCCACCTTCCAAAAGCCAGAAGAGAAGGAAGAAAGAAAGTGATTATAACAAAAAATGCCATAAGTCAGTCACTAAGAAGGCGCTTTGTATTGAAGAGAAGGATGGTTTAACACATACCTTTCAAGAGCTTCTCTTGAAAACAAGTGAACTTCATGAAGATTTATAAACATGGTCTGCCCCTAGGAGCTCACCATCAGGTCTTTCCTTGGCATGTATGTATCTGTACATCATGTGAATAAGAATCACCATGAATGGGGGTGTTATCAAAAGATACAGATAACTAGATTGTCTCCCTGTCTTCCTCCTTCTGAATCCATGAAGGGTCAAGCCCAGGAATCCAAATGTTAGTGAACCTCTCAAGTGATTCGTATCTACCTTTAAATGTGAGAAAAATATCCCTGGGTCATTGCCAAATATGAAAAACAGTCAGTTGCATAGCTTTTGTATTGTCATTACTGGTTCCTTCATACATAAAGGCATCTCTCATGAAGTTTTTGTTGTTTTTCCCCCAAACAAGAACTTTACCTTTGCCAACCATTGTATTTTCTGGTTTTTTTTCTGTCAACTACAAAGGATTTCTACACTAGAAATTCGGAAGATTTTATAAAACCAATAATGAGTTAGGAGTCAGCCACACAAGATGGCCTGAATAACTGGACGTCACAGTTATTTCTTGCTTTGGACCAAACCACCCCAAAACTTAGGAGCTTGTGAGTCAACTGAGCAATTCTTCTGCTGGACTCCCCTGGGATACGTCACATGACTATATTTGTCTCCAAGCTTCAGTGGAGCCTGGTTGGTTCTCAACGTGTAATCACTTGACCAGCACAATCAGTATCACCTAGGAAATTGTTAGAAATGCAAGTTCTCAGGTGCCATCCCAGGACTACTGATTTTAAAACTTTAGAGGTGGAGCCCAGGAATCTGCTCTAAGCTGGCTTCCAGGTGATTCCAATGCTCACTCAAGCTTAAGCACTTCCGTTTAGAGAGCATCGGAGGGGGTGGTACTCTTATCATCCTGCAAGCTAGGCTGAGCTTCCTCAAACGGTGGTACCACATTCCATTGGGCTGAAAACAGATGTTGAGATGCCTCTTGAGACCTAGGCCCAGAAGTTGTCCTGTGTCATCTGTGACACCTTCTATTGGTCAAAGCAAATCACAAGGACAGTTTTAATTCAAGGGGAAGTAAAATAGACTCTTTCCTCTTGAGAGGAGTGGTGAAGTCACACAGCCAAGGTGCCTGGATATAGGGATGGGAATAATTGTTCTGGCCACCTTGGTAAACAACCTTCCATACTGAGTAATAATATAATAGACTTAATGCTTTATTCTCACCAAGATTCCCCAATATTTTCCTAAAGGATTTTTCTCTTCTTTGCAAAAACAATGCCTATTTTATCCGTTTTATAGAGCAACTGCAACAAAGTAACACAAACTGGGTGTCTTAAAACAGTAGAAATTTATTTTCACATAGTTCTGGAAGGCTGGAAGTCCAAAATCAAGGGGTCAGTTTGACCATGTGCCCTTTGAAATCTGTAAGAGAGAATTCTTCCTTGCCCCTTTCTAGCTTACGGTGATTTGCTAGCAATTCTTGGTGTTTTTCTGGCTTGCAGTCGCAGCATTCCAAGCTGTAGCTCTTGTGTCACACAGAGTTCCCCTTGTGTATCTCTGTGTGACATTCTCTTCCTGTGTCTTAACATCATCTTCCTATAAGGACATAAGTCATGTTGGATAAACATGGCTATGTTTACTAATCCACTATGACCTTGTCTTATTGAACTAACTGCATCTGCAATGAACCTATTTCCAAATAAGATCACTTTCTGTGGTACTGGGGTCCAGGACTTCAAGATCTTTTGGGAGACACAATTTGATCCATAGCATCTACCTGGATTTGAGTCATATGGCTGACTGTATTTTATCATATCTGAAATCAAGAAGTAACTGTACTGGGAGGAGGGGCGGATTCTAAGACCTCTACTCACCTCTGAAGTCACCGCTTGGTTGTGTATGGTTGACCCTCTTGTGTGAATAGATATATAAATGTTTGATGGTTTAGTAATCTTCTGGACATGGGGCCCTGGAGAGAATTATCAGCACAGAATGTGATACTTACGTGGGCTATGATGGAAAAGCCACAGAGGATGGTATCTTCCTGAGCTCTGCATTTTAAAGTATCCTATTACATAGCATGAAAATCACGCGGTGCCATTTAGCATAATAATACCAGGGGCACACTTAAAATATCATGTTATAGCTTGGAAACATTGAGAGCTACAATGGGATTTCAATTGTGTAAAGGGATGTTTTTACATCATCTTCCCTGGAATTTATCAGGGGCACTTTTATTCTATTATATCTCTAGTGTAATGAGACTCATGCTTTTTGAATGTTTAGACCCTGCCTATATATGTAGAGTTTTTGTCTAGCTATATTTATATATTGATTCATTAATTCATCTACTTATTATTCATTTATTCATCCATTCATCATTCACGCTTTCATTCAACAAATGTGTACTGGGTGCCCCTCCTGGGAGACAGACACTAGGGAGTCAGAAATAATAAAACTAATTCCTTCCCTCATGGAGCTGATATTCTAAGGAGAGATACACAATTTTAAAATAACGAAAAGCAAAAATACACTTTCAGGCAATAAAATGTACTATGAAGTAATATGTGTGTAATTGGGGAATAGAATTAACATTTGTTTGAATAACTCTAGGCATCATGTGAAGGTATATTCTGTAAGGGCTTGTTTTTTTTAATATAGCAGCGTCCAAATACATAGTTCACTGTCCCTGAGAATGGCATGGTTACTGCTCAGTGACCCTTTTCAAGTCATTGAAAATATTTTCTATTTGCTGCTGATCTATTTCAATAATTGAGCTTGTTGGGACAGCTGTTATGCTATGTAAAGAGCGGAGATTTTGGCTCCTGAGAACCCTGGGTTTGAACTGAGGATTGGTGGTTTGGTTATTTATTCTCTCTGAGCTTGGCAAATGTCCCTACTAAATGAACATAATACTGCCTTGTTCTTAGGTTGTCCTAAAGCTTACACGAGGTGACATATGTAACACTACCAACCACAACCTCCATAGATAACTGCTTAACACATATTTGTACACAGTTTTCTCTGTAATTTCATTCAAGCAATTTGGGCTTTTTGGTGGTCTTCTAAAATGGCCACTTTTAAAAATAGTCTATGAAAACAGATCAGTCAAAGATCCTCTTCTCTATAATGATATTACTCAGGCACCTGCACACAATGAAAGTCCAACATTAAAGGGCAGAATCTTGCTAGATAAACATGTTTTTTAAAAGATTTAATTGTCACGGCTCCCAAATAAAATAATCGTGGTTAATTTTTACATCTTCAAACACGTATGTATGGCTTTCTGATAGTGCATTATACATCAAATACAATAAAAAAGGCATTAACAAAAACCACTTACACTAAAATCTGATTTATGCTTTCACATAAGATACATGGTTTTATGCTTTTATGGGTACATCCAAAGTTTGTGAACTTTTACAAAGCCCTATTTAAATACTCTGCTCTAAGACTGCATTTTATCTTCCTAATTTGGGCATAATAATCTTAATTATATCTACTGCACAGGCTGTTGGACAAGGTTCCTTTTCGTGCCCTCCATGAGTAAATTTGACCATACGTACAGACTTGACAGGCCATACATACAAATGATAGCAATAATATTGGTAAGGAACAAACTTGGCAGCATCGTATAGAATGCATTTCAAAGTTTAGTAATAATGATTTGCAAATAATAACATAGTTCTTTAGAAAAAAGTTATTGACACTTATCACATATGAAGCAGCTCATTCAATGTTCAGAACACTCATTCGAGTCAGAAAATATTATTGTCATTTTATAGATGGAGTACATGAGACCCAGAGAAATTAAATAACTTCTCCAAATTCATAGGCTAGAAAGTGGTGAAGCAGAGGTTTGAACTCATTATTCTTCCTCCAGAGTTTATACACTTAGCTGCCATGCTGCGTGGACCACCTAATGGAGAACACATCCGGGCCAAGTTATTCATCTCAATTGTTGTGGGGCTACACATAGCATGTCTTCTTTTTTTGTTTGTTTTTAATGATCATAAGCAAATGCCTGACTTTCAAATTATTCCTATATTGAATGAGTCATTGTCTACTGGAATTGTCTCCCATAAATGGCATGATCTCCCTAGGAACCTTAGACTGTGAACTTTATGCTGCTGAGCTTTCAATCCTAGACCTGAAAGGAAATCTTTAATCAAGAAATGGAGTCTGGTGCCTCAGTGAGCTCAGACCTCCCCTCGATGACTAACGCTAAGTCTTTGCTCACTGCTGAACTGAACATTAAAGTGACAGAAGGTTGCACAGAAGGTAAATATTCTTTGCGATGTAAACCTAAATTAGGAAAGAGAGGGTAGGATTGATCGTGAATGGGTGCCTGCATTTGATAGTCTCATGATTTAGGTGTCCTACGGAGAGAGGGTTGGCAGCGACTCCAGTTAAAAAGGGGAGGGGATGCTCCGCAAGGCAGAAATAATGACAACCAAGCATCAGATATTCCATGGGCTCTTGGCTTTCTTCCATGCTCAAAAGACTAAACTAACCTCTCGGTCAACTTCAATGTGCTAATTTACAACTTAACACTCTTAGGCCATATTTCTGTCCCTTTCCCCATAATTGACACCTCAATCATTATGCTGGCCTCCTCTCCTGGGCACTCTCAGTATACAGACTCTGCTTATCTCACCTTCAAAGTGGCAGTCCCATTGCCTGCAATGATACATTCCTAACATGTCAGCCCAAAGCACAGAGTTATTCCAGTGCGACTTAAACTTGAAGTCCACTTTTTTTGATAGACCAGCATCTGTCTGGAAGTGGAATCTTATTATTATTATTATTTTGAGACAGAATTTCAGTCTTGTTGTCCAGGCTGGAGTGTAATGGCTTGATCTCGGCTCACTGCAACCTCCACCTACCAGGTTCAAGCGATTCTGTTGCCTCAGCCTCGCGAGTAGCTCGGATTACAGGCACGTGCCACCACGCCTGGCTAATTTTTGTATGTTTAGTACATGTTGGCCAGGCTGGTCTCGAACACCTGACCTCAGATGATCCACCCGCCTCAGCACCCCAAAGTGCTGGGATTACAGGTGTGAGCCACCGTGCCCGGCCTTGGCGGTGGAATGTGAATACAGGTATTTGCTCTGCAGGATCCATTAAGAGCAGCGGCACATGAAGGGCAAAGAGTGGTTTTGGCATTACAAATGCTTCTCAACCACACTTTTGTTTTTCGAAATATTTTGAAATGTTTATCTTAAATTTATTTCTTTTTAATCATAATGGAGATTCATGCCAAAATACAGAAACTATTTTGTCTATAAATGTGGAATCCTATAATAGACAGTGGAGCTACCCGGGGACTTTAGAGTTTGCACAGTTTAACTTTCTCTTTACAGATGTAGAAACGGAGGCTCAAAGAGGTCTTATGCCTGGTCCAAGGTCACATGGCTAGCTGAGTATAGCCTCATAATAGTCCCTAAGAACTGAAGATGTCAAAATATGCAATGAGCTCGTTTTCTCTTTGCACATTTAATTACTTCTATTTTTCTGTTTTATCACATGTCCAACATATTCTTCAACCCTTCAATTTAAGGGACAAAGGGAAAGGTGGAGACAAGGATAGGAATAAGAACACATTGGCATCTATTAAGATCATTTACACCAAATCAGAAACATAAATATAATCCATCAGGGCACTTTCTCGTAGCAAATCAAGGAGTTTTCCCTTAAGTAATTATAAAACAGGTTAAAGGAATAAGAACTCTGGTCATTCATCGATTCTTGATTTTTATTCCCAGACTTATCATTCCCCAGGATGAGAGGTTTGAGAGAATAGATACATTTGTAAAATGACTAGAATAATTTTACCCACCTCAGGGATTCAGTGAGTGTTTAATACCATAAAGGACTTTGAGATAGTCAGATGAAAGGTGCTTTAGAAGGCAGACATGATTACTGGATTAGAATTTCAGAGAGTGAGAAAGGACTCTTTTGTGTTGACAGACTTTTTTCTTATTCTTTTTGCAGTTCTATAGTGGTTTAAAATTTTTTCTCCTACCAATTTCTTCAATTTCAGATCATGTCCTTGACTTGGTACTGCTCTCGTGAGAAGGAATGTGTGGTTGGTGTAAACTGTCTAGCTCCCTGTACATTTTTTTTCTAATAAGCATTTTAGCATCTTTGAATTCACAAAGCTAATTTTCCTCATTTTCCACAGTGGCAATGTTTGTAAAGCACAATGAAATCACCTGGGGACAGTGTTCTTTAAGGCAGTATTTATTACAGGTCACAGACACACACACACACGCACACATACACTTCCCTGTATTGAATTGTTTGGAGACCACACCAATTTTGTTTCATTCTACAAGGGTTTCCATAATATCATTAATCTCTCTCAGCTCTTCAAGATGGCCTCTTACCATATTCTGTCAAAAAACAAGATATAGACCATTTACTTTAAATACCTAAAAATAAAAATGCTGAATCAAATGGTTACACATACACACACACATGCACAGACACACAGAGCTCTCTAATGTATTTTTCAGTTGTTGGAAATCTGTGTGCATTGGGTGGGGGGAGCAATGGAACTTGCAGTTTATTGAGAGTGAAATGTTCTATTGCATTAGTTGTAAAATGTTCTTTGCTATTAAAATAAGTAGTGCTAATTAATAATCCTGCAGAATTGTAGAGCAGCCTTTGAACTACAAGAATAGATTCTTAATCCTTAGTATCAATAGCAGAATTCTCCTTCTCCTTTCTCTCTCCGTCCTTCCTCTCCTGCCTCTCTTCCTTCTTTCTAGAAGTATCTATCGCAAAAATACTGTGCTAGGAACTGTGTTTGTGGTGGTATATCAGCTCAGCCAATCGTAGCAGAGCAATCTTATGGACCTCACCCAGGAATGAATTTCAACATATCTTTGGTGTGAAAAGACTGAGGATAACACCAACCCCGAATCTATAAGCTTTGTTTTATTTTATGTGAAAGGCCTTTTTTTCCCTCTTGGTCACTCCTGTACTGTATCTAGTACACTTGAACTTTATAAGGCTAATGAAAATATCTGTGTCCTAAAAATAAAATGTACTGGCTCCAAAATGAAAATAAAATTACAAAATCCAAGTTAATTAAGTTTGATTAAATATCTACTGAATAACAAAACTAACATGATATCAGCTAGTCAACTGCTATCCAAGTCAGCTGTTATGCAGTTATATATAAATCAGATATTTATACATCTTGTAACTATTAGATTTCTGTTTTGGCCTAATATGGAGGAGTGGGGTTTTTTCAAAAAGAAGCAGCCTAAAAACAATGAGGACCTAAAGTGTCCCTCTTCAGATGCTTTTGTTTTCAAACAACATCTCAATAATGGCAATGGAGATTTGATGTATCTGTACCATAGATTTAAAAAAAGAACTCTACCTGTTACCACCATGGGGATGGAGGTTATTTTATCATACACAGTAACTTTGTGATGTGTTAGCTGTTTTTTGTTTTTTTTTTATAGTGTGAATACATTTCCTTCTGCTTTTTCTATCAACTAAAACGTTGCTGTGAGCTGACTTTCGTTCCATTATACTTCTATGCATTCATGGATTCCTCCTTTAAAACTATTGCCAGGTGTTAGCATCTTCCCTGAGTAATTTCAGGCATTTCCTTTGAATGAAAATGGCTCACTTGGAAGGTTGTGAAAGGCATAACCATGTGGAATTGAGAGGATTTTGTGCTGCGATGTGGTGAGAAGGCTTGCCAGAAATTGCCTGTTTCAGGCTGATGATGCAAAACTAGACATCTGTTAAATTAACATCTACCTAACGTTTTGCCTTCAGTCAAATGCATTTTTTAAAAAATTAAATCTCTCCCACTCTCTTCACTTTCTTTTTTTTCCACTGTCAAAACAATCTGTCACAAGATATTTAATTTCTGTGTAATGGGTTACTTAAAGAAACCAGCATATGGTGCAGTGAATATACCTAGCTACAAGCTAGAGGCAAATGTACGTTCTGCTGGTTCGCTGTACTACTGAAGCATATTGTGCCCAGCATAGATGTTATTATGGTGCTGGATTCCCTGAGCGCTGATTTACATTAGTGCCAGTTTCTCACAACTCTTGCCTTTTAGGATCAAAATATTAGTATAAATATTCTTGTTCCACCAAGGAGTCAGAAATCACTTTCGACTTTGGTTAAGTGGTGGGCGTTTATGGCTCTAACATTTCAGGGAGGGAGAAAGAGGAATCTCATTATGCAGACATCTTCGCACACCCCTCCTGCATCCAAGAATTTGCTAATAGCAGTCAGCTGATCTGTGGCCTGGCAGTATGTTCTAGAGGAGTGGAATCTTTCACACACTTACACTGACAACACCCCGGACACCGCGTGCATCCCTGCAGGCTAGAGTACTTTCTACACAATTACCTTTTTTTTTGTTGTTGTTAGTGTGTGTGTGTGTGTGTGTGTGTGTGTGTGTGTGTGTGTGTGTGTGTGTGATGGAGTGTTGCTCTGTTACCCAGGCTGGAATGCAGTGGTGTGATCTTGGCTCAGTGCAACCTCCACCTCCTGGGTTCAAGCAGTTCTTCTGCCTCAGCCTCCAAGTAGCTGGGACTACAGGCATGAGCTTCCACGCTTGGCTAATTTTCGCATTTTCAGTAGAGACGGGGTATCACCATATTGGCCATGCTGGTCTTGAACTCTTGACCTTAGGCAATCCACCTGCCTTGGCCTCCCAAAGTGCTGGGATTACAGGCGTGAGCCACCATGCCCAGCCATAACCTTCTCATATAGTGGAGTTGTCTTATTGATAGGGGAGGAGATTCTAAAGTCCCTGTCATTATGGTGATGAGAGATTAAATATAATCAAAATTACTTATGAAAATCCCTTGAGCCATCCATGAAGTATGTGTACCTCCTTGTTTAGTAATGCATGTGTATTTATATATGGTAAAGTGTAAAGTGCTTATTACGTCAGAAAATAGTGTTGACTATGTGTCAGGCCCTTTTCTAGGCCCTGAGAATGAAGCGGTGAACAAGAAATACAAGATTGCTGTTGTCAGTGCACTCACTTTCCCATGGAAAGAGACCCAGTAAATGCATGAGCAGTAAGCAACCTGAAAGCAAAACATAAGGCTATAGATTCTTTATCCATCTGCCCGCTCATCTATCTATCTATCCATTCATCCATCTATACATCTGTCAACAGTAAACCATAAAGAAGTACATAGTAACTGTATGTCTTTGACACTAAACTCATGAGCAAATCCATAACAAAATAGAAGTGTATAGGTTATTTTATTTCTCCATAACACTTAACCAATCTCTCTATATGGATATATACACACACATACATACATACACACACACATACACGCACACACACAAAAATAAACCCATAAAATATAAGTTTTGAATTATTTAATCTATCTATGTATTCATTTGTTTATTTTTGCCAAAAGCCTGGCATCAATTTTGTGTAAGTTGGACAAACTTACTCCATTGTGTGCCTTTGAGGGGCACAGTGTTCATATGTTAATTCATTTCTATGTAATTTGAAAGGTTCCCAGATTGCTCCTTATTGGGACAGCTAAAGGCAATCTCTGCAGTACTTGAATCATGAAGTCTCCCAAGTTGGTGTTGACTTCTAGGCTACTGGTGAGGGAACAGGGGAATGTGGGTGAACTCCTTCAAGCCAGGCAGTCACAGAAGTTAACAGCTCCTTGGCAATTGTTCTCAAATAGTTCATTCCCTGAACAGCTAGGTTGTGGGTTTTCTGGGGAGAAAAAGCATAATACCTGCAATAAATCACTTAAGTCTATTACTTATTAATCGAAATTCTCAAGTGTCCTGAAAAGTATCTCTAGGCCATTGTCATTGCAAAGCTATCACAAATGAATGAGCTAGGCAAGGCGGCAAAATTCTTGGTCCACTTGTACCAAATAGCCTGAAATAGCTGTGTTATTAATCAGAACTCCATAAAATCCTAAAGTTCAAGCTGCATAAATATACTCAGGTGCACGTTAGGCAGAGTCAAGTGGGTGCTGTAGTCCTTTTTCAGTACATCAGAAAACTTCACTTGTCATCATTTGTTTTTTATTTAGTATTAATTTTGAGAACGATAATTCTTTCCCATGATTTTTACCTTGATTCTCTGGAGCCACTAATATTCATCTAATATTTTTGAAACGCTTCTTAGGAAGCCACCATATTTAGTCAAGGCTGAATGCCACTGAGATTACTAAGAACAAAAGATGAGCTCCCATCCTTCCCCCCAACCCGCCGCCCACAAAAAAGGGATTATGTTAGCATTGTGCAGACACCTATTGACATTGTAGCCTGGTAATGCTAATTACCACTGGAGGCAATGCCCATCAGCACTGGAGGAGTTTGCTGCTTTGGGCATGGAAGATGATTGGCTTGTCTGCAAAGCCTGGATCATAGGAGGTATTCCATAAAGGTGTGTTGCGTATATGACTGAGATTTCTTCTCTTTCTGTCTCTAGGGACATAAAAAGTAATAGATAACTAGAGGAGTTACATTCTTAAACATCCTAATGGCATTGCCCCTCATGGTTGCATGAACTTTCTTCATTTGACAAATACTTAGTAAACACCTACTAGCTGCCAGACACTATGATAGGTGCTGATGTGCAATGGTAAGTTAATAATGAATGAATGAATGAATGAATGAATGAATAAGTGAGACATAGTTCTTGTCCCCAGAACAGAATTATTGTCTAGTAGAGAAGCAAGACATTAATCAAATAGGCAACCAATAAAGACATAATTACAAGCTGGGGAAAATGCTTTGATAGACAGACATGGTTCTAGAGGACACACAGCAAAGGAAACTGATGAAGCTTGATGGGATCAGAGAAGATTTCTCTAAGGAAACGAGTCATGTGCTGAAACTAAAGGATGAAGAATAGTGAACTATGTGAGGAGCAGGGAAGACCATTCCGGACACATAAAGACATGAGCACTGGCTCAATGGTGACAGGGAGCCTACAGTTCCCAAGAGTTGACAGCAGGTCAGTGTGTCAGGAACAGAGGGCTGGGAGGAGGGTAGTATAAATGGGGCTGGAGGGGCAGCAGGACCTAAACTTTTGATAGTACTGTGTCAGTAAATAGCGCTGATTTATCAAAGGCCAACTATGAATGTATAAACAGGTGTCAAAGAGCAGGACAGCATAGGAAGTCATCTACTCTCACATAGCGTCCAGATCTGTGCCTAGCTCTGGGCTGGGTAATGAGACAAGGAGATGGGAACTCAGAGCTTTGTATTCATTACAAACTAGAGTGGTGGATAATGAAAGCTTTAAGAAATGTTAAGGGAATCATGGACGTCATATGTGATGAAGAAAAGATTGGGGGCGGGGGTTGGAAAGGGCTTTCAGGATCAGCATGCCTTCTGCACAGCTGAATGGTGCCTGGCTAATTTCCCTTTCTAATGAGACCAGCACAAAATCCATCCATTTAGACTATTCAGCTTTTAGGTAAATGGACCAAGCTGTTGGGGTAGAGGGGAAAGAGGGGTTGACATTGATGGATGGAGTTAAATACCAGAGTCCCCTCCTTCACACAGACTTTTCTAAAGCAGTATTGTGATAGAAAGACCTAGAAGATCCCAGGTGGGCCAGGCAGGCTGGACAGAGCCCAGTGTCTCCCTGAGAAGGGGAGGAGGAGGGCGAGATGGGGGTCTTCTGTCAGCATGGAAGGGTCCTCTTCAGGTCTCACAACATAATGGCACATGGCGAGGAGTTTCTCAAACAGGGCTTGATTCTCATGGGAAGTGTCTGGGGATCATTCTATAGGCTTTCCCCTGGCACAATTTAATTTTTTGTCCAGAATTCCCACCACAGCAATATCCATTTTCTCACTTATTTTGCAGTACCGCCCTCCAATTTTATGGACAACAAATTGTGATTTATCTAGACTCTAAAATAGGAGTGACCTTGTTCTGGACCAGAGCAATGGTTAAATTGAAGTAAGGAAGGTTACCATGCCTTGGTGCAATAGCTAGCTGCATTATACTCTAAATAGAAAAGATGATAACCCAGCCAGACTCCTTGGAAAGACTTGAGCATATGTGTTTTTAAAAGGAGTGATGATTATTTTCATTCATTTTCTGACACTTGTTCTGATCAGATGCTTAGATTCTGTGACCTCACGATACAGTGTTCATCATTTAAAGGAGTCCAATGGCAAAGGAGATTGTGGGTTATAGTCCTGCTTTGAGGGTAGATGGAGCAGTGACAGGTACATTCAGAGCTGTGGATACTTAGCTGTGGAGAAAAGACACTTCCAATGGCCACCATTCTAAGCGACTTTTATGGTTAATTCTCATAACAACCTCAGGGCATGTGTACTGCTATTTTTTGCACTTTGCAGGTGAGGATACTGAGGCACAGAAAGGTGAAGTAAGTTGGCCATGGTCACTAAGCTGGTACACAGAGGGGCTGGAATTCAGACCCAACCAGTTTGACCCCAGGGCCTGTATTCCTAACCACTATCAGTGTGACCAAGAAGTGGATTGGGCCAAGAGGGTGGCAAAGATAAGAAACTCAAGAGCAGCTGTTTACTTTCAAAGGAGCTTCTCTCTCTCTCTGCTCCTCCTCCTCCTCCTCCTCCTCCAACCTGTTCCAATTGCTCAGAGTAGACAGATGCTTGGGGGGAGTGTGAGTAGGAAAGCAAAGAAAATCCTTATAAATTAATTTTTTTTCAATAGTCAGGATTAAAAACACACATTTCCCATCACTCATCTCTCTGGAAAGCAATGGTACCAATTGAAGTAAACACTTTCCTTTCTGCCGCAGCACACAGTCATGCGCGTGCACGCACACACACACATGCATACACACATGCACACACAAACACACACACTTGTTTCCATTGGCTCTTGGAAAAGCATTTGCAGCTCTGTCTACTTTCTCAGATCTACCTAATTTGGGGCTGGCTACGACAACCAAACACATGAGCTGCTTTCTGGGAGATCTCAGCAGTTTGGCCTTAAAAATAGTTTTGACGAATGAATTTTAAAAAGCCCTCTGAGAAATACTGACCAACTGCACCTTTGTGTTTAACATTTGAAGCTTACTATGGTAATTTTTCCCTTTTCTTTTTGCTCATTTATATGTTTCAAAAATTCATATTCAATATTATATTTAACTCAAACTTGGTTGGATACCCTACTGTCCGTTAAACCCTGGAAAAACATCTCACTTGTAAGTTATTGTCTTCTCCTCACTGTACGGCTTTTTGTACAACATAAGAAGTCATTTTCCACCTCATATTTGGAGATTTGGCCTTCCATTCATGGAGGGATTGCTGGTATGGAAGTCGCTAGCTTGTGTCACCTGTAGGAACGAGGGGAAAAGAATGTGTAAGTCAGTTGGCATGTTCTTTCCCTAAATCCCCTAGAGACAACTCCTCCATTTGCTACTAAGAAGAATAAATCCCTCCCTGACATGTTGGGTCTGTAACTCTCGGAATCAGTAAACACAGCCAATTTCAATCTGACTGTCGGTCGTAGCAACTAAATTCTGGGCCTGCTGGAGAGCTCCAAAGCTGCACGGCACCCTCTGAAATGAGCTTGGTCGAGCCTTTTCAAATTCCATAAGGCGACAAAGAAACTTCAACGACATGATTGCAAAAAGAAGATAGAAGAGAAAGGAACCTTGCTGTTTTCATTAAAGTGAGCCGCATTAGTTCTCAAATCCTATGTTTGGGGAACCCCTAATGGTTAAACTTACACAAGCAGAAGGAAAATAAAATGCCCTTATTAAATTTCCTATGAACATGTTAAATATTTTCCCTTTCTCCTGTCTCCATGTCTTAGACTTTGAGTCATTTTGCCTCTGTCATCTGTTTCCAGCTCAGTTGAGTTACAACCAATCAGATATGAGGAAAATTAGATTTTAATGGAATATTTGATTTTCATTGCTTAATTGATTTAATTGCAAGTTTCTATTTCAGACTGGAAGAAATGCAAAGATTTTCAGTCAAATGTAGAAAAGCTCTCATTTTTCTGTGTTCAACAATGACAAACTTAATTCAATGGTAGCCTGGATTCTAAAACTTTAGAGGAAGGCAATAATGGCATCTTTCTGAATTGTTATTCTAAGTCTACAGTTCAGTTTCTCTTTCATATATATGTATGTATACTTACATATATATATATATATATGTATCTGTCACATCAAAATTCAGCGTGTACGTTTGCTTATTCTAGTTGTGTTGATTTTGATTTTGGGTTATGAATTTTTGTTTGTCAGAGGAAACAATACATATGTACTTATGTAAACCCACACTTTGTTTCCACGGGCACTTAATGTCACCAAATATTTCCTTTTGTTGCTAGGTAGAAAGACAGCTTAGAGAGATAGTTCTCTAGCCACCATAGTAGGTCAGTGGACTTTTCTGAGCTCGCTTAGACCACCCTTGATAAGTAGAATTCAGTCTGTGTCAATGCTTTTGATGTATACTGGCTGCCTAGGACATTGGGGTGAGAAGAATCCCTGGGAGAACATGCAAGGCTCATTCACCAATGCGGAGTGCAGCAAGTACCCCCCATCCCTTGGTCTCACTTGTATTTTAGGTGCCCGTGTTGATCACAGCATCTCATTTTCCAAAGGGTCTTCTCACAGCAGTGGGACAGCCCTGCATGTTAGCACAGTTTCTGAATTCTCTGAACTCCTTATAATGTCAATTAGGGATTCTACCAGAATGCACATTTCTTTATTTAAAATGTTAAGTTTTTTATTGTTTGTTTTTAATCTTTATTGGCTTTGGGAAATTTAAGAGTTTTCTAATCATTTTGAGAGAGTTTTCTAATCATTTTGAGAAAAGCGTGTGTGCGTGTACACAGACCATTGGCATGTGAAAATTTAATTATGGATGATCCATATTTGAATTTCTTATCAAGTACCTTATATGCTTCTTTGTGAGTTTTTAAAATGTGGAATATAATTTTAATATAAAAATCTTAGCCTATTGTGTGGTTATGTAATTTTCATCAATATTCTTACCATCACGATTGTCACCATGATGCCTATTTTGTGGAGACTTCCTCTTCTACAAGGGTAGGAAAGCAAAAAAGCTAAGAGCATGAGCTCTGGAGATGGATTGCCTGTGTTCAAATCCCAGCTCTGCCAGTGACTCATTATGAAATTTCAAGCAAGTTACTTTTACTCTCCTGCATTTATTTTCCTCATTCATAAAATGGGAATAATAACAAGGCCTAGCTCACAAGGTTATGTAACAGTTTAAAGAAGCAATAGATTTAAAGTGCTTGGAAGCATGCCAAGCATGTAGGAAATGCTTGATAAGTGCACTGAATACTACTGAGGTTATAATATGAGCCCGATCCTAGCCTGAGACTGTACGTGGCTTATTTCACTTACCTCAGTCATACCCAGTAGGGGGGTGATTCTGCCCTCCAGGGGACATTAGACAATCTCTAGAGACATTCTTGATTGCCATGGCTTGCAAGATGCTACTGGCATCTCGTGGATCCAGGGAGGCTGCTAAACATCACACAGTGCTCAGGACTGTCACCCACAAGAGAGAATTATCTGGCCCAACATGTCAATAGTGCTGAGGTTGAAAAAAATCTTGATTTAATCCATGAAGTAGGAAATGTTTACATTATACTCATTTTACAGAAGAGAGTATTTGAACCTTGGAGAAAATATAACTTCTCATATTGCAGATTTAGTAATTGGAACTGCTGTGCAACAGGCTTTTGGAGCAGGAGGGTTTATTTTGTTTTTAAGATAATTGCATAGAAGATCTTCTAAAAGCCGTGAAACAGAAACCTTCAGTGCTTTTTGGAAGCAGAACCACTAAGGAATGGGTTCAAGCCCGTCAGAACAGACACTGTCTGGAGTGTGGCATCAGGATGCTAGAAGCTCCAGCCTGTGCCTGGTCTGACTTTGAATTTTCTGGATCCTGGGGAAGCCCATGAGGCTTGGCCACAGTCCCAGGGTGGTGGTAGACACTCCCAAGGCTGAGGTAGGCTTTGTCTTCCAATAGTCACAGAAGTTTATTTTAATATTTTAGCAACTGGTTTGATCATTCCTGAGAAGTACTTCAAACACATAATTTCACAGATATTGTTACTTAAGATGAGGCCAAATTGAAAGTATAAAAACTGAAATTGTCTAAAGCAAGGGTCCCCAACCCCCCGGCCACAGACCAGTAGTGTTAGGAACCCGGCTGCATGGCAGGAGTGGCAGGTGAGTGAGCGAAGCTGAGCTCCACCTCCTGTCAGATCAGCAGCAGCAGCATTAGATTCGCATAGGAGCATGAACCCCATTATGAAATGCGCATGCATGGGATCTAGGTTGTGCATTTCTTATGAGAATCTAATGCCTGATGATCTGTCACTGTCTTCCATCACCCCCTGATGGGACCATCTAGTTACGGGAAAACAAGCTCAGGGCTCCCACTGATTCTACATTATGGTGAGTATGTAATAATAATAGAAATAAAGTGTACAATAAATGTAATGTGCTTTAGTCATCCCGAAATCATCCCCACCACCACCATCCACTGGGTCCATGCAAAAATGGTCTTCCATGAATCCAGACCCTGGTGCCAAAAAGGTTGGGGACTGCTGGTCCAAGGGAAAAAAAAAAAAAACTGAGTACATATCAATTAGGTACAGTCAGCAGTAAAAATCATCAAGGTATAACACAAATGATTCATGAATGGGGAACACTTTATCTCAGCTAGCCCCTGAGGACAGGAGCAACAGTGTTGATCTATACATCCCAGGGCCTGGCACATAGTGGGAGCTTAATGAATGAACATAAACTCACAATCTTACTCCATCATTGTGCAATGCAGTTTGAATGGTTGTGACACCCATAACCTCAAATATATACAATTCAGACCTCCCACTTCATATCTGAGTAGAATATGGCAGTAGTTGGTTGGTTGCACTTCTCAGCGTCTCAGCCTTTGTATTAACTATGGTCCATCTCTACATCCCAGCAAATCATCCCTCCGTTGTGTCCCCCTGCAATGTGGATGGAGAATTAGCTGAATATGCCCAGAAAGCCAAGTGACTCAAAATTCATCCCCTTCATTCTGACCCCCAGTCAAATCCAGATGTCACAAAACAGTTTGTGATCTGTCATGGTCACTGTGGACTGGGTGAAGAGGCCACAACCATTAGTGGAGATCAGTTCTCAAACCATTGCTTTAGGAATGTTTATTACAGGACTTGGTTTCTGACTTTCTGAGCACAGCTAAACAAATGGTAATGCAGTTTACAGTCCTCAGAACCATCATTTTAATAGTGATCTTCACTGGATTAAAAAAATCTCTTTTTGTTCTTGGCCTCCCACCTGTAGTTTTTTTCCTTGTTAAATACATGCGTGGCCCATTGCAGCTCCACAGCCATTCATATCTCAGTGCCTGTAGGGGTGGGAGTAAGGGGGCATGGAGATATTTCTTATGTATCCCATATCATAGTATTTTGGAGAGAAAGAAGTCTTCTCTTCCAAAAGTATGAAACTGTTCATGAGAATATAATGTGTTTGCAGAAATCAGTTATGTTCAATGGGTAGGTGTTTTCGTGCTTCAAATTAATATCTGTCCTTTAAAAATAGCAGATGTTTAGCTGTATATGTGGGTGGTCGACAAATGCAGGCACTCCACATTTGCTCCAAGTGCAGGGCTGACAGACAAGGGTGGCTCTCACGACCAAGGCAATCCCCACCCCTCCTCTCACCCCTCCCACTCTGTGGCGATGCTTCCTTGGCATCTCAGATCCGTACTGTTGTGCCTCACTTCTCAAATGCATGGAAGCTACACTTCCCAGCACAGTAACAGTGACCTGCTTGAAGTGAGGTCTTCAGACCAGTGCCATCATCACCCAGGAGCTGGTTAGCAATACAGAATCCCAGGCTCCAGTCCACATCTACTGAATCAAAACCTGCATTTTAACACCACCCCAGGTGACTCTTGTGTACATTGAAGGCTGTGGTCCCAGAGCACTCCGTCTCTAACCTCTTTAGTCTCTCTTACTGCATTTTACCTTTTATTACCTATTTCTGTATTATACTCTTCATTTTGCATGCGACAGTTGAGGGCAAGCATCGCCTTATTTTTTTTTCTTAGATCTGTTTAGCATGTAGGTGATTTTCCTAGCACAGTGGTACTTGATCAACTCCTGAATTTAATGCAGATATTCGGATTATAACCACAGGGAGAGTGGTAGTATGTACACCAGAAAGGGAAGAGTGCCACCTGTAAGGGAGCTCTGGGTTTAGGCATATTTGACTCTTCCACTTCACAGCTGGGCAGTCTTGAGCACATTATTTGTCTCCTCTAAGCCTCAGTTGCCATAACTGTAAAATGCAGATCATAATTGCTATCTCATAGGTTTGTTTTTAGGATCAAATGGGAGCAAACATATAAAGCAATTGGCATGGTGCTAATTGGTTCACAGAGAGCTCTCAAGAAACATTAGCTACTACTATATGAATTATCATTTCAGCCAGTAGGTTCTATACTATATCATAATTCCAAAAAGAACATCCCCACCTCAACTTTAAAAAATTACCCTCATAGCTCTCAACTGGGGTTGATTTTCCTCCCCAGGGGACAGTTGGCATTGCCTGGAGGCATTAGATTGTCATGAACTGGGGAGAAGGTGGGCTGTGTGTATCTAGTGGGTAGAGTTCAGGAATGCTGCCTAACAGCCCGTGATGCACAGGACAGCCCCACAACAAGCCATGATCCAGCCCAAAATGTCAATCATGCCAGTTGAGAAATCGCTATTATCCACAGAGGAACTGAGGTAAGCAAAATCACCATTTTTTCTTGAGGATTTAGGTACCTTGGTATATTCATCCTCTCAAATATTAATGTTGAGCCCTTTTGTCAGAATCCATCTACTATGAGGCAAATCATTTCCTTTGGTACAGAATCACACCCTGGAAAACCTGATGCAACCTGATTAACCTATTAAAGGTCATAAAACAATAACAATTACATTGCACATTTCATTCTTTAATATCAAAGAGAGCTAGGTTCTTTGAAATGTAAAACATCATAAGTGAAAGGATAGGGCCTGCAATTCCCCCAGGAGCCCAAGGTCATTGTATAAATAACATTCTGGTTCCCCTATTAATTTCACTCCATTCTGGGATGTGCAGGAGGCCATAATTGTTAGAGGAAGAGGAGAAGGCTGAACTTTTGCTGCCCATGACGGAGGTCAGACAGTGTAACTGTGGTCCGTGGTTCAAAACAGTTGCCCAAAATGGAGCAAAATAAATGTCCTTACAGCTGGTAGAAAGATCAAGATGAAACGTCTATGTTGTTTTTCCCTTAAAAAATCAGAGATGCTGCAAGAGCTCCCAAGAAGGTATTAATTTCCCAGGTACTACTGCAAAAATAAGGGTGAGGAGGCGAGTGTTAGGCTTTATTCCTGCTGTGAATAGATTAAGCAGACACCAATTTACACCTCATTGTTAAGAGTAACTTTTTTCTGCAAGTGAGACCACATTTACATCTTTTGTAATTAAGCTAAAGGAATTTTTTTTAATGACATTTCCCCTACCACAAATCATGAAGTAAATATTTTAAGTGAGATCAAATGCTAACATGTATACATTAGAACCGTAAAAATAAAAAGAGAGACAGAGAGACAGAGTCCTAGCGCCACCTTTCAGCTTCGTCATTTGCTGGGCTGGGATAGTCTCTGTGCCTGTTGGTGCTTTGGTTTTGGAAAAGGCCGGGTATGACTAAGTGAGGCAGTTAAAGAGATGGTGAGCGTGGAGGGATTCGCTCTTGGAAGGGATGGCTGTGCCAGCTTCCCTGAAAGCAGGAGGTATGGCAGTGAGTTAGTGAGTGCTCCCAGTCATTCAGGGCACACCATCCATCAGCAGGAGCGTGAGGCTGCGATGGCATCCATCCATCCGTCTCCTGCATGCTTTGCTTTTTGGCAATTTTCGTTTTTAGGAAAATTGAACATAGAGAGCTGTATATTAAGAGCTCTAACATCCTTTATTCCCCACACAAGAGAATCTAGTTGGGCAAAGAGGCATTTTTTCCCCCTAACAATAGAGTTTGCATGGCTGCTAGAAACAATACAATTACGGACCCAGATAATAAATAATTGCAGAACAATGGGGAGAATGAGGTGTGGGCAAGGAGGAAAATGGATGGTTTCAGATAAGATTTGCACAAAGATTGAGTTGGTGAGGTGAAGTCATCCCAGGTCACGTCTGTTCTGCACTAACTAAGGTAAATTATTGTCCACACACCTGAACTGAGAGCTGGAGGCCACGCTGCCAGCCTAGACTGTGCCTTTGTAAGATGGACCTTTTCTCCTGAGAAGAGCTCAGAATGTGAAGTATTCAAATGGAAGCCTGTGACTGCTGCTTGGCCAACCTTGTGATCAGTCAAATAGAAAATGGTGGCAAGTCATGCCTGTAATCCCAGCATTTTGGGAGGCTGAGGCGGGTGGATCACCTGAGGTCAGGAGTTCAAGACCAGCCTGGCCAACACGGTGAAACCCTGTCTCTACCAAAAATACAAAATTTAGCCAGGCGTGTTGGCAGGCGCCTGTAGTCCCAGCTGCTCGGGAGGCTGAGGCAGGAGAATCGCTTGAACCTGGGAGGCGGAGGTTGCAGTGAGCCGAGATCGCACCACTGCACTCCAGCCTGGGCAACAAGAGCGAAATTCTGTCTCAAAAAAAAAAAAAAAAAAGAAAAAGAAAAAGCAAGCCTACCACTTGTGATCTACATGTTTATGGAGCCTAAATGCCAGTGTGTCACATCCCTGGGCACATGCCTAGGTACTGTAGCAATGTTGGCTCAGTGTGCATTCTCAACTCTGATATCAGCATGAAAAGACCAAGCCTCAGATATATTTGGCTTTATTTTTAGGCTTTTCCTGAAAAAGGTGCAAGCACATCATAAACTTTGTCTTCCACAAAAAGATCAGATTTACCCTTTGGAGGCATCTTTCTCCCTGTGCCACTTGCCTTTTAAATTCAAGCAGGCTTGGAGAGTCTCCTTTTCTTCCCTTGGGTTCCTCCTTAGCCTTTCCATGGTGGCTATTCTGGTGAGTACTCGCCTCTCTTTGCTTTTGATTGTGGTTCTCACCACCTGTGAAAAGACCTTCTGATGAAATACTTCCCAAAGAACCTTCTTGACCTTCTCTTCTCCTTGACCACAAGGCTACTTCTGTTTTCTGCCAAGTGATGTCTCGTAAATCTTTGTAAGTTGCACCAACTGTGTGTCCTTACAGAGTCTATCCAATCTCAGCATTGCCATTAAATATAGAACCCAATCTGTAGCCCTGGGCACCCTAACCAGAAGTATTAATTTTATAGTTTAGCAAATACGGTAATGCACCAAATAACAACATTTCAGTCAGGGACAGACCTCATATACAACAGTGGTCCCATAAGATTATAATGGAACTGCCCTATATAGTGTAACCGTTTTTATCTTCTATACAGTGTTTTTACTGTACTTTTTCTATGGTTAGACATGTTGAGATATTAAAATACTTATCATTGTGTTATAATTGCCTACAGTATTCAGGACAGTAACATGCTGTACCGGTTTGAAGCCTGGTAGCAACAGGCTATGCCATACAGCTTAGGTGTGAAGTAGGGTTTACCATCTAGGTTTGTGTAAGTGCACTCTATGATGTTTGCACAATGACAAAATCGCCTAAGGATTCATGTCTCAGAATGTATCCCCATGGCTAACTGGTGCACGACTGTACTTACTAAGTCTATCCTATGTACCAGCCATTGTTCTAAGTGTGGGGACCAAAAAGACAACTTCTGACCCTCTTGAAGCTTACATTCTGAGAAAGCGAGTCAGACAGTGACCAAAATCAGTAAACCATATAGTGATTTAGAAGTCTTAAGTGCAATGGAAAGGAACAGAAAGGGAGGATGGAGAATTGGGGGCAAGGAGATGATGCAGTTTGATCAGGGCAAGCCCTGCTGAGAAAAAATGATTTTGGAGGAAACACCCAAACAGAGTGTGAAAGTAATCCATGTTCATGAAGAAGAACCTTTGAGGTAGAGGCCTATGCAGCTGAAAAGAGAAAAGTGAGGGAGAGATTAGTGGAGTTGACATCGGATAAATTGAGGGAAGGGCAGAGCATGTCAAGTCTTTAGAAAGTCAAGTCTTTAGGAAGACTTGGGCTCCTCTGAGATAAGGAGCTCATAGATGGCTTTGAGGAGGAGTAAGATTATCTGGCTTACATTGTAAAAGAATCACCCTGATTAGCAGAGTTGGAAATAATCAGCAGGGGATGTATCAGTAATTTATTACTAGATAAAAAATGCAGCAGAACTTGGCAGATTGAAACAAGAGGAAATGATTGTTGCTCACATTCTGGTGTGTCCAACAGGCAGTTCTTTTGGGGGACTTGCCTGTACTCACTTGTACAGTTTCATCTAGCTGGTGGGTTTCATGGGGGCTGGACTCCATGAAATATTTGAGCGTTTCCCTCCTCTTGGTTTTTCATCTTCTAGGAGGCCAGAAAAGGCTTTCTTTCATGGGGATGGCATTCTTCCAGCAGGGCAAGCCCCTATGCTCAAGAACTTCTTGTGCCTTTTCTTGCATCATGTTTGTTAATGGCCTATTGGCCAAAGCAAGTCATGGCCAATCCCAGAGTCTGGCCAATCCCAGAGTCAGTATGAGAGAGAACTATACAAGACTGTGAATACACGAAGGTAAGATACATTAGGAATCCCCAGCATAAGGAACTGCCACAGGGGCCTAAAGTAGAAATCATGGAAAACAATTGAGAGGCGCTACAAAATCCAGAAAAGAAATGGTGATAGACTGCAACAGAGTGCTAACAATGAAAGTTTTAAGAAGTACCCAAATTCTAAATATGTTTTACAGGATGACCTTATTTTTATTGTGTCAAGTCAGTAGGACAAGGCTATTAAGCTTCCAGGGATTGGTGATGGTCTTATTATGCGTGAGATGATGTCATAATATAGTAAATGAGGTCAGGGATAGGTTTCTTTTATTGCCAATAATTATTCAACGAGTTTTCTGTACAATTGTAAACTTAGCAATTCACTTAGTGCCGTGACTACACAGCACCCTGTCAATATCATCATCAGCTAATATTTATCGAGCACCCTCTGAGTACATGGTATTGCACTCACAGCAACAGAGGTGAGCTGCATTAATTCTTTCAGCCAGTGCAGGATTATTGAGTGGTTTATTACATCACTCTATTAATTGGTGCCCCAGCAGCTTCCGGAACAACATTTAGCTTCCATAATGCAATTCTTTTTCCTCTTAGAGTAGATTTAGCTTTGGTAGAATTTAACTGCACAAAGAAATGATAGGGCTATCTGCCTTTATAAATATGCTAATGTTTTTTGTTTATCTTATTATCAGAAACTTGGAGATACTGGTCCCATTTCATAGACGGAGAAGTTGAGGTAGACAGCGGTGAAGTAATTTAGCTAATGCTATGTGCTGAGATCAGGGATTGAAATTCAATCACTTTATCTATTGCACTATACTGCCTCTCAGTGGTGTATGTTATTCCCATTTTGCTCTCACACTAATATATGGTCATGAAAACACCCAAAAAGATTTAACTGGCGTCTATATTCTTTAAGGGAGTGTATGGCACTTTTCTTTGACATCTGCACAGACTAATCACTGGAAAAGTGGTTTGTTTGTTTGTTGTTGTTGTTTAAGCCCCTTATTATAGGGGATTTGTCAGCTGTTAAAATCACCACTTTTTTGTGTGAGTTAAATTCTCATCAGAAAGATGTTTTTGCTTTTATGGTACATCTAAAGTTTTAGGAACTAGCTCATGAAATAAATGATCTCATTGAGATCCCTACTTTCATTTTGTTCTGGAAACAGTTATTCACTGGCGATTGTTTTGGTTGATCATTCTTTTTGAGAGAGTTCTCTTTTTTTTTTTAATGAAAGAGTTAAATAGGGGAGCTAAGAAAACTGTGAGTGGAAGGGAGCCGTTTAAATGCAGAATTTCTTTGCAAATCTTGAAAGTAGCGCCATTAGATGTCACGTACTCTGAGATGCACTAGAGTGTACACCCTCCAGAATGTCTGTCTGTTGTAATTCCATCACATTACATATTTTAGTGCATATCTCTTCCTAGCAGCTTCCAGAGCTTTTCAGATATTCAGCATCAGAAATTGCACTGTTTTTTCCTGGATTTTACAAATAGCAACCAGATTATTGTAAAACAGAACTATCTGATAAGTAAGGTTGTGAATTGCTTTTGTGATTGTCATGGGTAAGAGCATTGAAGAAACTCGCAAACAGTGCAGCACACTGGTTCCTGTAAAAATAAAACCTGTAGCAGTGAATGCGTTTTTCTGATGAATACGTTCAAGGCTGTGATCATTGTGCAACTTCTGGTTGGATGCTTTCAAACGTTCCATATTGAGAAACATCAGTAACAAGAACCAAATAGTCCACCAAAGCCTGTATTCAACTCAATGGAGAGGAACGTAAATTCTTACTTAGAGTTTCATTGAGGCCAACTCTATTCGGTCCACCATGGGAAGCAGAGATTTAAGGTTCTCTCTTGATTTGCTTTCCATTTTTACTTTATGATAAGGTGGCTCCGCTACTTTGGTTTTCACTTAAGGGGTTGTTCCAATTACTATGCAAAACAGAAATGGAAAACAGACAAGACAGACTTCTGTTCAGCAGACAAAAACCAAAATGCCAGAACATGTTAATTAATGTGAGCAGTTTTATAAGCAAAATAATTTGTTTTAATTGGCTAAATAAGATCTGATATAATTATAATAAGCCAATAAACTAATTTCAGAAAACTATTTATATCACAAACCTTTAATCACATTATATACTCATTGCAAGTTTGGAAACGGATATAAAAATCGACCCAAATTATCTCATCTTTACAAATAAGAAAGATACATTAAGGGCTTTTTTGAAACTTCAAAGGTTATGCTCTTTTCTTATTTTGGAGAATTTCTTTTTCTTTTTGGAAAAAATATATAGGCAATTTCAGGAGCATGAATCTTTAGTGAATCAAGAAGGAAGCATTATGAGGGTGAAAAATCTTTCTTAAGAAAGCTTATTTTGTCCAAGGTAAAAGGCTTATTAAGATGAGGTTTCTTCCACAATGTTCTTTCATATCATATTCACCCTAAGGAAAAACAAACCTCGTAGAAGAGAGAGATTGTATAATTGGGCCTGAAATGACCTCCTAGAAGAGACCCTATAGAATTGAGAACTCTCTCTCTGAGGATTAGCTGCCCATGGGTCAACACAAACTGACTTCCAACTAATGTATAAACGATTGGGGGAAAACGATATGCTTCCAGAGGGCAGTTGTTAATTCTTCCTACCACAAGAATCTCAATTTGTTGGGATGAGCTAATTTTGACACCAACTTGAACACTGGTTGATGCGCAGCATGTGCACACACACACAAATACATAACAAAGTAAATAAATAAATGGCCTTTCATACAACCCCAGGGGTAAAAACGCTACAAATAAATTATGCACTTTTACATTATACTAGCTGTATTTTAACAACAGTTTTTAAAAGGCCAGGGACTGTATTATAAGCTCTTTCACATAATTTCCGAATGACAGAATTGCATGCCCATCAGAATTGCATGCCCACCAAATCAACATGTCTTTTTTAATAAGTGCATTCTAGGTACAAGGTAGTACTCAAAGGAATAGCAATATATATTGTACAAAAAAAAAAAATACTTCGCTCATGTAACCTTCAGTATACTTAAAATCTATGTGATGAAGTAAGATATAAATCAAATAAAAAAGACCTAGTAATATTAGAAGAATAACAGTTCACCAATGGTATGAGATATCCAAAGGCAGGACAAGATTAATGGGAAAATTATATGTATTAAAATGTTCTCGGCAATGGGTGCTTAGACATGGGAGGAAAGAGCATTTACTGTGAGCTAATATAATGTAGAAAAAATATTTTTGGTTGGAGAAGTATCTTATTTTGAACAAAGGATAGCATACATTTAACAAATCCTTCCATGCAAAAGGAAAACATAGGGAGATAGCAGGGTACAAAATGTGTTTGGAGGTGTATAGACCAGATTTTAAAACACTGCTAGAAATAGATGAATGTAGGCAAAATTGAATGGCTCATTCATGTATCAGACCCACATATACTGAACACTCACCATGTGTTAGGCACTGGTCTAGCTACTAGGAATATAGCAGTGAACAACAACAACAACAATAAAAACACGCTGACTTCATGAAGTTTATGCAAATATTTCAAGACAGTAAGTGTGTGACACCATTGATTATCCTAATATGGGGAGCACAGGCAGTTCTTTATCTTAGTTCTATTGTTTTTCATTTGTGCACAGACAGGCAGAGACCATGGTGTGTGTGTGTGTGTGTGTGTGTGTGTGTGTGTGTATAAAAATATATATTTCAAATAAAAGCATTTATTCAACTTGTTGAAAATTCAACAATATTGTTCATCACCATGTACACAGAAAAACATCACATAGGTTGATGGAATTTTTTATGTTGTTCCAGATTGTTTTAGTATTATATAGACTTAGCCAGAGAGAAAATAAAAGAGAACATAATTAATGCATTTACTTAAAAAGAAAGAATTAAAGGTGATTAAACGCTGTGGGTATTTGTGTGGTTAGTTCTGTCTTTCTGTGTAACCTTAAAAGGATGACTATCAGCTAATAACTTTTCCTTTTCCATGCATGGAATGGGTGGCCTGAGGGGCCCATCTTCAAGCAGAATGTAAATGCCAAGTATGAGGACCGAAATCAATGAGTATCACCTTCCTACAGCTTTTTTTTTTTTTTTTTTTTTTTTTTTTTTGCAGAGAACTGCATTTGTTTCTATCTGTGCAGCCATAGCTACATCATTCATATGTAATGTTTGTCTTTTATATTATTTTGTATAATTTTGATGATTTTCGTGGAAAACGTGATGAAAACATTTCCCCAAAAAAAGTGTTGCTGAATTTAAATGTGTTTAAAAACTTAATCCCCATGAGCATAGATGATCAAACACTCAACAAATATTTACCGAATAAGCAAGCTACTTTGTTTACAGATTGTGGGAGGTACTAAAGATGCAAAGTGTTTAAAATGTGAATATTGTTCTCATTTAATTTAAACATATATGGAAGAACGGGGCACAAACCAGAAAAGCCAAGTAATAATAAACCAATGTGGCATAAGCTAAGTCTGAATGCCTGACATGGATAAAAATAACTAGAAGGTAGGAAGACAAGGGTTAATATCCTGGCTTTGCCATTTGCTCCTTGTGTGATGTCGGGTAAGTTAATTTTGCTAAATCTCAGTTTTGTTGTCTGTAAAATGGTTCCAGCAACAGCCATTTGGTGAGTTGTTGCAAGGTTAGAAATTAGAGGCAATGATAAGTCCCTGTCATTTAAGAAGCATTCCCATTACTATGAACTATTTCATTATTGGGTAGGTGTTAGCTATATACTAGCTATTATATAATAGCTTTACATGGATTAGCTATTAAGTTCTCACAATATTTTACAGATGGGGAGAGCAGGGTTTAGAGAGTAAAAGAATTTGACCCATGTTCCACAATTAGGAAACAAATTTCAGGGTGGGAATTTGGACTTAGGACTAACCCCAAAGCCCAGCTCCTAATTATGATACATCCGAGAGCACTGTGATAGCTATGGGAATTAACAGTTTCATCAATGTAAACCAAGAAAGTCAAGGATATACTTGTGGAGGACATGTAACCTGTCCTGGTCTCTGATAAAAGATTGGAGTTAAATATGTTGATATGAAAGAGAAAAGGCCGTTCTAAACAGAACGAATAATGTACTTGAGGCTCTGAAAGGGATGCATATGCATCAGGCTGGGCGGACAGTAAGCTCTTGTGCAGTAGGGATAGAACCAGTGTTTACATGGATAGGTTGGTGTCAAACCACAGAGGCGACTGAAGTTGAGGCAAACAAATCTGCACTTGATTCTCTAAGGAATTGTGAACCTTAGATGATGTGCAAGCCGATACATAAGATAATGAAATAAAACAGACTTTCAATTGACCAATCAATAACTATTGGGAATGGATGTCATTCAGAGTGGCATTTTAAGAAGGATGAATTGGAGAAGAAAAAAAAAAACCTCTTAAAACGGCTGTTTTCAATGGCTGTGTCACGACAGTTGGGAGAAGTGTCACAATGAACAAGGCACTAATAGAAAAGTATTTGTTTGCCAAACATTAGCTAGTTTATAGATTAGGGCAGAGTCAAGGTCGTATGTAGAATAATGTCATTCTCCTTTCATTCAGATTCCAAGTGCATTCTTGAGAAGGGGAAAGGCGGTGTTACGATCTCTGGTGCAGTCCTTGCCAGAACCCTAGGAATGCCCCCTGGAATGGGTGTTGCATTTCACCGCCCTTCATGTGTTTCAGCACAACTAAAACAGCCTAAAGAAGAGCTGCATTGAAGAATTATTGCAACTGTCCAGGCAAAAGTACACAAATCAAGAAATGTCAGAGGTCTGAAAACAGTAACTTTAAGAGATATGGGGTTGGTATTTAAGTTATTGGTAATTGAATGATTGTGGTGGGGGAAGAACTGAGCCCTGAATGGCTTGAAGGATTTTACATTTTACACTGGTGAGGAGATTTGGAGAAAGGGCTTGCTTCGAGGGTGAGTTCATGAGTTGAGTGGTAGAACTTATTGAGTTTTAAGCATATTATCCAAGTGGAAAAACCCAGAGGGGAATTTGAAGAACTGTAGCTTGTAAAGAGGGTCAGAGTGGAAAGAAGTCTTTATGAGTCATCCATTTTGAGGTGATGAAATATTGTCCATGTTATCCATTTTTAAAATTTTAAAAAGCTGTTGAGTGGGTTTCCTAACAATGGAAGTTCACATTTACTGATGCACTTGCTATGTGCTGGGAGCAGGACCTACCACGGCACAGACATTGTTTATTCTTAATGACAACCCATGAAGCAGGTAGCCTTACACCCATCTTAAGATGAGGACACAATGAGACAAAATAACTCAGTCAAGGTCACACAGCAGTAGGTAGTGGAGCTGGGATTCAATCTTAGGCAGGGTAACCTGGTTCCAAAAACTGAGCACTTAACTACTGTATCATACGCTGTCATATAAGCATATGAATGTAAAGCTCTCCCACAGAGAAATAAGTCACATAAAAGTTACATTCCTGTAAGAAATATTAATATGACTTGGTCACCCCAGTATAATCACCTAGCCCCCCACCCTACTCAAGGTATCTTAAATCACACATATCCACTCCACTACAAATGATATCCACTCAGGGAACCCACCTCCTCACTAAGGAAGCGGTAAAAATAAACAACAGCACTGATAGCCATTTGTAGCTTTAAAAAAATCTCTCCTTTTGTCTGCTTTGGAGATTTCTTTTTATCTCTCATTGACAATGTTTTGCAGATGCTGTTCAATAAACCTCGGGCCCCTTCCCCTGTTTTTATTGTGCTGAAATAGTTGCGTGCTGAAATAGTTGCATCCTTGTAACTGGGTCTTTATTTTTATTGGCAGAAAATTCTCAGTCCACTTATTCCCTTGTATAAAGTAAATTTTAACTGTAGAACCTGTATCAATAATGTCATTTAAAGGAGGCTGCTTCCAATACACTCTGCAAAATGTCCGCAGAGATTTCCGGATTTCCCAGTCACCACTTCCCTCCCTGCTAGCCAGGCCTTGCAGCTCCCTTTTCCCTTCTACATCTGAGCACTCTCTGTTCTCTGGCCAGCTGCCTTCTGTTCAGCCCCTGTGTGTTCTCCATTCTCTGCTCTGCCTTAATGATAAGTAGAGTTTCATCCTAAGCACATTAGGGTGGAGGTGGGGATTACTTCTTTATTTGGGTCCAAGGGAAAAACATACCCTCCTATTGGCAAACCATGAAGAGTATGACACTTCGAGTTTAACAAGATTAAGCAATCCCTCTTTGGGCACAGCAATGTGGCCAGTGTGGGGGAAGAGAGTGTTATTCTTCTTGGACCATTTCTCATTCTATATCTGGTGGCTTACATAGGAATTCCAAATTGCAAGATGCCTAGGGTCCGGGGATATGTTGTTGGGACATAAGATAGTTGAAATGGTTGTGTACTTGGGTTTTTCTATTTTTTATGTTTCTAAAATGATAATTGTTATAAGTAGGGCACATAGAATTTACTTTCGGATATTGGAATTGCTTAATTTCGAAGAGATGGCCAGTCAAAAGCTTGGGCATCTCCTCTTCCTGTTCACTTACTACTGTTTTAGCTCTGCTTACCATGAAAGGTAAGCAGTCATTTTCACCAATAACTTATACCAAATAGTTGACCTTGGAACCAGCAATTTACATTCTTATAAAAGAGGTCACTTAGGGAATTTAACTGTGTAATCCTAGCCCCCATGTGGTAGGAGATGAGTAGAAATGGAACAAAGCTGGTGACACACCATTTGAAACAATTTGAATTGGGAAATCATTTCTTTTCGACTTCGTGTCAAAAATGGAACCTTCTTTAAAATGGTACAGGAAGGGAGAAGGATGCAGTAAAAGTCTGTAGCAATAGTGACTCAAAAACTCTGTTCTAGGACTCACGAAAGCAATCCTGTTGTCACATTTGGAGGGAAACCAGAAATAATTTAGGTTTTTCACTTTCCTAATAGCTTCTTTTCCAATACCTTTCCTTCAGACACCATGCCCTCCCTTTTATTTTGCCTTTATTAATGAAAACTAATGAAGAGAAACACCGTTTAAACTTGAACTAGGAAACACAGGTTTTGTAGTGCTAATATTTTGGTGTGGGCTCTTTTTTTTTTTCTTTAAGACAATTATCAAGACGAAGCATTTGTTTCTTCTTTTGTTTACCCATGGCAGTTTGTCAGCAGTTATGATAAGTAGAGTTCCATCTGCCAGTAAAACTACATTGCAAATTGCCGTAGAAATTAGCAGCTTTCATTTTTGCCTACATAAATAAATATGCGAAATAAATTGCACATAAATGCATCCTAAAAAATCACAGGTATACCACACAGTTAAATGCCAATCAGACAAACCCAGAGACACACTGCGATTATCTCAGTTTTCAAACCTGGGAGATACACGAATGTGTTTCTAAATGAGAGAGGCAGTGTATCATGCTCGCTGAGATAAAAACAGAAGCTGCCAGACACTGCACTGTGGCTTTATTCTGAGAATCCTTTGCCTGAAACCCGCTCTCTTTTCTTGATGTTCTCTGTCTCTCTCTCTCTCTCTCTCCCCCTCTCCCCCTCTCTCTCTCTGCTTCTCTCCCTCTCTCCTCGCTGTCTTTCCCTCGCTCATTGTTCTCTCTCTCCTCCTGCCTTTGATGCACATACGTTGTCACAATTCATTGACTCTCCTCTCTTCTCTGTTCTTACACTCAAGCCTAGCGGTGCTTTCGCCAGGCAGCAGCAGCCTCTCCTGCGAGTTTTAGGCATGTATGCAGCTCAGTTTGATCGAGCGTTCCTTTTCTGCCTTTTCACTCTTACAAAAGATTAAAAGGTGGCGTCACATTGCTCCCCTGTTCCTTCCCGCAGGAGGGACTTAAAAGGGACAACAAAAACTAATCACTTTCAATAAGCATTTTCTTGCTGGAAAAAAAAAAAAGAAAAGAAAAAAAAAGAAAGAAAAAAAAAGGCGGGGGGTGGACTTAGCAGTGTAATTTGAGACCGGTGGTAAGGATTGGAGCGAGCTAGAGATGCTGCACGCTGCTAACAAGGGAAGGAAGCCTTCAGCTGAGGCAGGTAAGCGCCGATCGGAGGGTTTGACCGAGTGGCTTAGTTAAATCTCTGTTTTCACCGTTTTGTAATTGAGAAAGGCATCCGCAGCAGAAGCCGATTTTTCAGTCGGCTTCCTTTTGTTTAACATAGAAAGTACCTGTATTAATTTTGATGAATTAGAGCATGCAGCAAATTCAATTGAAAATAGATTTGTATAGTAAATGCATTTATACTGAATGATTTCTCCTCCGTTTTATTTAAGGAGAGAGATGAGAAAGATGATTTTGATCAGAATAGCACTTTGCATTACGTTAAATTCTAAACAGCTAACGGAAAGAAAAATAATCCAATTGATACTGCTTTTGAACTCCGGGACTTAAACCCTAGGAGACAGCTGCCATTTGAAATTTTTCTTCTAACTGAACTTCTGATGTGTTATAATAATTTTTCACTGGAGGTTTTAGCAAGGGTAGAGTTTATTTAAGTCGAGCTACTGGGGTTTGTTTGGCTTGGATCTTGTGGGTGAAGCGCTTCTTATATCTCCTTAACGTGTGTCAGGTTGATGGTTCATAAATAGAGATTAAGTGTTGTCCCAAATGAAATATGAAGTTAAAACATCAGGTTAGGGCATGTTGTAGAAAGGGATCTGGTAAATAATTAGGAGAACTGAATTATGACAGTTTGAAATGGGAGTTAACTCTGGAGGTGCTGTTTGATAAACCTTTCTGGATTCTAAGCGGCTCAATAATGGAGGGGCTGATTACCAGTCTCGAGTCGGAACTTTGCATCAGGATCCTAAATGTGGAATACATATGGATTTTCATTGTACGTAGCTTTTAGAAATATGTCCCTTTTGTGTGCTATGAGAGTTGTGGATTATATTTGATGGCATGTCTCCTTTAAAGAGCTTTGGGGTGAAGCTTAAAAGGCTCATATCTATTTTAACATTGAACAAACACAAAATGCATGATCTCCCAGCACTTGATTTTTGTTGCTACTTCTGTTGTTTTAAAGTTTTGATTATGTGTTTTTAACCTCAGTCTTTGTTGATTCTGTGTTCATTGCTTCTGCTGCTAAAATGTATTGCTGACATGAAAAAACTGAGATTTGAGAAAGAAAAAAAAAAAAAACAACCCAAACCCACCTCTGATTAGCCAAGTTTCTAATTAAGGATAACAGAAATCCAGATTATATCTAAGATTTTACCTAAAAGATAGCATAGAATGTTTAAAATTCATTTTTAAATGTTTTTATGAGAAAATCTGAATATTAAAAGTACAAAATTCAGTTAAAAGAATCCTCCTCTGGAATGATATATACAAGGGTGACTTCAGTACCTGTACTAGGTTTGGTCCTAGAAAGAACTGCACTACTATGGCATTGTTGATTTCAGCGGCCACGGAAGGGAGGATATTTTATGTATTTGTCTGGAGATAAGATTTTTTTCTTCCCAAGTTTCCAAACCGGACTTGCTCCTCAATATCATACCCTGGCATGTCTCGCGTTTGCCAGACCATCTGATGGCATCTTGTGGGTGCAGCCTATGAATCCAATTTTATGAGGACATCAGAAACTGCTGAGTAGTGGGGAGTAGAGACCAAATGGACTGTGGGTCTGATCATACTTCATCATCCAGAGATAATCTCTGGTGGAAGTTCCCTGGGAAGCCCCTGATACAGGTTGGGGAGACTTAATTTTTCCTCATGGTTGAAAGAATAGGGAAAGATGCAGACAAGAGAAAAAGACACTGCTGTCGAATGTTTGATGCAATCGTGCTGGTGGTAGCATAGTGAGTTTTTAAAATCGCATCACATGTAATTTTTTTTCAGCTTAAGAAACTTTGCAGAATCTTGAAGTAGCTTTTCTCAAATTCAATCTCGTTTTTTTTCTACATCGTTTTTTCCTGCGTGAAATTTTTCTCTGACTCCAGCTACACCTAACTATTGAAAGCTGTTATTCTGCTGCTGATAATGATGATTATTTCTCAAATAAGTGGCAAGTGTTGAAGGGATGGGCCAAGAGAAATATGTTGTCTGTATCATATATGCTTTGCTTTTATTTATGAAAATGACTTCTTCCAGGTGAGGCAATGATAAATTTGAAGTTGCGACTTGGCTATTTGCCTCACCAAACAACTGTCCTTTTCTTAGAGAACAAAATAGAACTAAAGTAAGCAGAAATAATTTCATTGTAAACTGGATTGTAGTTCAGCATGTACTTTTTAGGCAGATGGTAATCAAAGCTATCCTTACTCAAACTATTTGATTCATATAAATAGCATTTTTCTGAATTTTCCAGTAGATGTTGCTGGAGAGCAAAGAAAAGAGCATTTTTTTTTTTTTTACAGGAAAAAAAGAAATGCAGTAGACTTATAAAAGCCAAGAAAAAAGATTCTTCTCCCCAAACTCTGCTGATAGCATTTTGCATAATTTGCTAATTAATGAATTATATTGAATCATTACCGTTTATGATGTTCTATAGAAAGCTATTAAAACTTGAGTTCGATTTTAAAATTATGAGATTGTTCTCTTTAGTCCCTATATATAATGTCTGTTTGCTGTGTTCCGTTTTCAAAAAATCAACTTAACTGCACATTACTATTCAGAACATTTCATCCCTGAATGCTAAAACCCTTTAACATGCAAATATGATGTCAGAGGAAGAACTGAAATAGAATACCCTGAGAAGAGTAATGATCAAACGCATTATAAAAATATGCACCAGTTGCCAACATGTAATGAAATATTAAGAAATTAAAAGCATGCAACCTCTAAAGTAATAGAATTTCATTGCTCTGAGACTGTTTTCCCACTGAATATTAAGTGCTTAATAGATCTACCCGTAAAAAACAATCGAAAACCTACATGATTTGTCACTGAAGTTCTTTCATTATATGATTTTGAAAAATTAGCCCAATAGGATTTTCCTCAGAATAGGAAATGTAATTAACATTGGATATTAAGTGTCAGATTTCCAAAGCAAAAGCTATAAGGCTTGATGGAGAAAATAGGAATGCAGAGAGCAAACATAAGCACTAGAAACTGAGGGGACCCACGCTGGAACTGCTCTGCTTGTAATCACTGTGATAAAATGACAAAGACGTCCCAGAGGAGCCCAGGAATCTCGTACCCAGACAGGAACTGATGCAATTTCAGGACCAATGACCTCTATCTATGGGAGTATTTATTTTTGGAAATGATCAATTAACTGATTTCAATAGTGAAAGGGAAGTGTATATGTTTTTTCCAATGAGAGGGGGACGTAGGGTATTACAAAAGCACTTGCAGACAGGACAAGGGTGTAACCTATGTTGGAGAGCTTTCGGTTTTCTTACTTTAAGCCGACCTAGTTCTTTGCTGGTGGATTCTTCTTTGGCATTGAATCACCTCTTTGTCAGTTTTCCTTCCTGAGGTGTGAAATGCTCCATAGGATGTTTTGATTTAACACCTATTTATTTCTCTTTTCTGGGAGGAAAAAGCTTATATTTAGAAGGCATAAGTGTCAGCTACTTCTATTTTGTAATTAATGCTCTAAGTCCACTGGGCTAGGGATGTTCCCGATTTTATTTTTATTTGATTCAAATACATTTTTTTTTGTACTTGACCCATAGTGGTTTTTTTCTTCTTCTGTCTTTAAATAAGGAAAGCTACACAACTTGGTGGGAGATTCTACTTTCTAGTAAAGTTTGTTTGTTGTTTGCCTCTTGTTCTCTTTTTTTAATAGTAGCTATCGAGCGCTGACTATATTCAAAGTACGATGAGCTAAGTGTGCCGAATTGCACCCCTAACAACAACAAAAGATGCCTCTCCACTCACTGAGAATCTGACGAAGATGCAAAATATGCGCCAAACAGCCTACTGGACTAAAAGTGCCAGGTCTTAACTCCCTCCCTTAGGAGAGCAGGGGAGAAAAGGTCGCTGCAGGTTGAGAGGACCCTGAGGAGCCTGTCTTTGAATTAGGGGTGAAATGTGAAAACACAAAATAATCCCCATCAGCAAAATCAGCGTGGGCACAGGGGGCACATGCCAAAAGGGAACAACCGATGCTAGTATGATGGAGGGTCTTGAACGGCAAGCCAAGGTATTTGATAGCCACTGGAGAGGGGTGATCTGGTAGCTTTAGGGGAGTTGCGGCTTTGGATGTGGACAGGGAAGTACTGGAATATGGGGTCCCACCATACAACACACCCTTCCCAGGAAATTCTGAAACGTCTGTCTACAGGGCATCTATTCTTCCGTTAAATTGCAGCCTTACGGAGGTATTGCTACCAGTAGCCTATATCTTCCCCTTGTAGCAATGCTGTTGAGAACTCCTGGTCCAGAGGCTGGAAGCCTGTGAATAATCTGTTGCATTAGCCTAGACTTCAGCAGTAAGGTTGAGAAACGCTGGGGAACGGAGACTGGCTACGAGAAACACCTTCGTATTATAATTATTGCAATTTCTTGTTTGTACTGCAGATGTCATGCCCTCATTAGACAGGGATTTTGTGTATATGCATTTGTTTTCATGTTTTCATAAGAAAAACCTTCACCATTCGTTGGAGATCAGACCCGTGGTTTAGAAGGTGTGATGTTCTCTCCATGCTATTTCAGTATAATCAATTAGTGTTATGTTCATCTCTGGTTTCTTGACATTGATTAGGATGGATTTTTATGATCTTTAAGGGTTTTCATCTCTCTAAAAACATATATACTTTATTTATTAGAATTAATTGCCTCTCTGAATTGCCTGTGTTGTCAGTTACTTTCTATAAACCTTGACTAACTTACCTTGAACTCTTTGACGTCTAGTGTATTTGACTGACAAGCTCAGCTGTGGAGACTACTCTAACTATATAATGGAAGTTTATATGTGAACATATAAGCTGTTTTCTTTTCAACAGAGTTCACGATGAGAAGGAGCAAAAATAATTATTAGTACAATTAAGTAAGTAGAGTGTCATGCTTTTCTTCTGTAACACGGATTTTACCAGCCTATTCAGGTGGACACGGTCACCAACATCACCTCAAAACCAAACTGTAGATGAGTGACTTTCCTTGTCCTCCAACCACTTTAATTTAATTTGTTCCATTTACTTTTCCAAGCTTTCCATCTTCCCACCATTTTAATACTATCAGAGATGGGGTGCTGCCCATGACATTCACACTTGACATTATCAAACACAAAAGGCATCACTCATGCACTTGACTGCATTACAATGGAAGGAAAAAAATAGATCCCAAAGGCTTAGAAATTATTGTCTCGTACCTTGAATGTAGCTGGATTTTCTTTTCTGTTTCCTCCAGCCTGCCTCATTTGACTGTTTTGCCACTGTGTGTTTGCAGAGGGTTCTAAAAGCCCTGCAAAAATCAGCACTCACAAATCCATAACATACACATTTTTATATTCACTGGAGATATGTGTCTTAGTATAATAGGAATTTACAATCATATCATTATTGTCTGTTATTTGTTAGGCACCAACCACATTTTGATGCAGTTCCAAAGTTGCAGCTTGCACCAGA